>NC_000013.11:85897297-86050138 GCF_000001405.40 Homo sapiens | reverse complement strand
TTTTTTTTTGAGGCAGTCTCTCTCTGTCGCCCAGGTTCAGTGGCACAATCTCAGCTCTCTGCAAGCTCTGCCTCCTGGGTTCACGCCATTCTCCTGCCTCAGCCTCCTGAGTAGCTGGGACTATAGGCGCCCACCGCCATGCCCGGCTACTTTTTTGTATTTTTAGTAGAGACGGGGTTTCACCGTGTTAGCCAGGATGGTCTCGATCTCCTGACCTTTTGATCCACCCGTCTCAGCCTCCCAAAGTGCTGGGATTACAGGCGTGAGTCACTGTGCCCAGCCTCGTGTAGCTTTTTCTAAATAATTAATGCTATTATACAACTTAGCAAAACATCTTAATCTCTATCATAAAAGAAAAATTTGAATTTATGCACCTTAATTATTTTTTGTTTGTATGCTCCTAGGATGAATATACTTGGTGTACCTTAAGCCCTAATATCCATTCTTCCCATCATACTCTGTGTTTCTGAAGGAAAACCTCTAATGACTGCTTGAACTTTAGGAACTTTAGATTTCCCTGTACATTAGTTTAAAGTTGTATTATTTCCAAAAGAGTTGCCAGTAGAAGAAAAGGCAACTTATCCTAGGGGCTCTTCCGTACGGATCCATGATGAAGCATTGGCTCTTATTATAGGAGCCCACAGCTGCTGCCAGACACTCCTTTAGCTCCAGCTCTTACTGAATTCCAGTAGCTATTCAGCTGCAATAACTCTTTATTCCTTAAAGAGAGTAGTAATGGCTTCTTGCTTTCATTACGCCTAAAATGATTTACTATTCCATATTGGTGTCCTGGCCTTGTTTATATCTTTGAGAAAATAACTTATTTATTAAACACATACAATGGTCAAGTTTGAGTATGTTACTTTTTTTTTTTTTTGGAGGGAGGTTTGGCAATTTGAATTAAAGGGTAATTTGTAGTACATGTAGTTTTGTCAAATATACACTCAAAATTAAATTACAAATTGTGTATATATTCCTTCAGTGTAGAGAAGTTACAAGTCATTATTTGAAAGTTTCTCTAGGTCCTATCCAGAAAGATATGTTGCCATATGTGATGGTTAATACTGAGTGTCAACTTAATTGGAATGAGGGATACAAAGTATTAATCCTGGGTGTGTCTGTGTGGGTGTTGCCAAAAGAGATTACCATTTGAGTCAGTGGGCTGGGGAAGGCAGATCCACCATTAATCTGGTGGGCACAAACTAATTAGCTTCCAGTGAATATCAAGCAGACAGAAAAAAAAAACATGAAAAATGAGAGATGGGCCTAGCCTCCCAGTCTACATCTTTCTCCCCTGCTGGATGTTTCCTGCCTTTGAACATCGGACTCCAAGTTCTTCAGTTTTAGGACTTGGACTGGCTCTCCTTGCTCTTCAGCTTGTAGAAAGCCTATCGTGTGACGTTGTGATCATGTAAGCTAATAGTTAATACTTAATGAACTCCCCCCAGATAGATAGATACATAGATACATAGATAGATAGATAGATAGATATAGAGATATAGAGATATAGATATATAGCTCCTATTAGTTCTGTCCTTCTAAGAGAACCCTAACTAATACACCATATTCTCTAAAAAAGGTGAATGTAAACTGGAGAGTTGGTATATGAATATCTGTGAATATCTTCCAGAATAAAACTAATACTGGCTCTAAAGTGAGATTGATCTCCAAAGACACAACATAATTATAGACCCTTATTCAGAGGTGGAATTTTGTAAATGGAGCCCAGGCCACTAGCTGCCTCATTGTTGTTCCAACAGTCTTATCCTAAGTATATAATGTATATAATGTTTCTAGTCTTAGAGTGTTGTGTTAGAATAGGTTATCTAATTTAAAAAATAGTTAAATATCACACACTGATTTACTGATCTCTAGAGCTAGTATAAAATAGATTACCTGGACATGTAGTAGAATGGTAAGAGGCAAGAGGAAAAAGAATTTCAAAGGGGTCCAGGTAAAGTCTCCTTTGGTGATGGATATATTTATCATGTTGATATGGTATTGTTTTTCACACACACATATATGGCAGAGCTAATCAAATTCTGCACTTCAAGTATGTGCAGATTATTATAATTAAAATTTTACAGGGCTATTTAAACAAACTAGTTTTTTCAGAAACCTCAGTTACTTTTGCACCAAACATAATATGAAAAATAGAGAAAACTTAAACTCTTATGCAGTACTTAAGGCATTTTCTTTAATACATAAAAAGTATATTCATTATCATTCATTTATATTTTCATTTCAATATTGTGCTGAAACTTCTAGCAAGTATTTAATGTCATATAGTTATGTAAGGGAAGAAGAATTTAAAATAATTATTTTAAAAGATAAAAAAATTATGCTTTGATTATTATTTGTTTATGTAGAAACCCCAGAGTAGAATGTTAGAATGAATAACAGTTTTAGCAAGTTTTTGAAATAGACTTCCAATATAAATATATATTAATCAATTTTTTATATTTTAATAACAATATTTTAAGTGTTATATAAAATATTCTAATGGAACAGAAATATGAAGTAACTGTAAACCAATAAAATATCTCTTGCCTTGTAGGAAAAAAATTTTAGACTTTAAGGAAAAAATTAAGGAAGACCTAAACAAATGTTGATAGAAAGACTCCAGATTGTAGAAATGCTAACTTTCCAAAGTTAACCTATAGTTTCAGTGCAATTCATTTAACATCTGAACAGTATTGTTTTGCTTTTTGCTTATTTTTCTTTTTGAAGCAATATAACTTAATAAGCTGATTTTAAAATTGATTATAGAAGGATAAGATATCAAGACTAACCAGCTCACTGCTAAAAAAAACCTGTTGGTGTTGTCTTAAATATTGTGATTATAAAAAAGATAAACAGAGATTGCCACTTGTACAGGAAAGGAAAAATGCAATGTGCTGTAATGGTTAATTCTACCAGGCTGAAATTAGTTTAAGCTGTTTTACTTGAATAAGGAAAGAACTGACCTCTGGTCAAGGCATAAAACATTTTGATCAATAATGATGCTTTGTAACCATGGGTCTAAAGAGTATTGTGGCAGTTGGTACCACATTTTCAGGATTGTTTGTTGATAACAACAAAACTGATGATTTGCATGTAGTATGAAAAAATAGAAGGGCTTTGCTGTTAGGACTCACAGCAGAAATATCTCTATGTGACAAGCAGTATATGAACAACACTGGAAGAGACTCCACTTTCTCTCCTTGTTTCTCAGGTATTCTATATAGACACGGGTGGTTCCTGATTCCCAAGAAAAAGCATCTGCAGTATGATGCTTCCAGGGAAAGAATGATTGAAGTTTGTGACTGGTTTCCTCAGATTCTCTGTGAGGCAGTCTCTAATGGATATCCTTCCTTTAATGATGTTGCTATTTTGAATTCTTTTTCTGACAAGAACTACACATTTCTAAGCATTTTCATTTTGGGCCCTGTGAGTTTTCTTTTGAAATTCAACCCTGTCTAAATGCCACTGTTAGTATATATACACCCATGGAACAGAATGCCTGAATTCTGAATGCAGTTTTTTAAAGATCAAAACAAGAAAAGCTGAAGAACATTATTTTGGGAAATAGCTACATGACTTAAAATTCTAAAAGAAAGAAAGAGAACCATTACCATAAAATTCAGGGCATTAACTGTATCTTAGAAGAGGAATAATGGACTGGTAATACATGTTAGTCATATGTATTAATTTTTCTTTTTCTTTTTTTTTTTTTTTTTTGAGACAGAGTATCACTCTGTTGACCAGGCGGGAGTGCAGTGGTGTGATCTTGGCTTACTACAATCTCCGCCTCCTAGGTTGAAGTGATTCTTCTGCCTCAGCCTCCTGAGTAGCTGGGACTACAGGAGTTCACCACCATGCCTGGCTAATTTTTTTGTATTTTTAGTAGAGACGGGGTTTCAACATGTTGGCCAGGCCGGTCTCAAACTCCTGGCCTCAAGTGATCCATTCGCCTTGGCCTCCCAAAGTGCTGGGATTACAGGCAAGAGCCATCACACCTGGCCTTATATGTATTAATTTTTATTCTGGACATTGTATATATCTTTTGACATATATTTCAATATTAAGTAATAAAATATAATCAAGTAAAAAGGTACTTATTTAGATTTTATATATTTTAGGTCTAAAGGACATGCAGTAAAATTACATGCAAAAAAATTTGGAAGTAACATTTTCATTAATCAAGAAATACAGTAGGTTAACTATTTTTTTAATCCAGTCATAATATTTCAGCTAAATGATAATTGCTTTAGAGTATTGAGTCAAACTCCACGCTATTGCTGGAGACAACAGAATGAGTAACAATAACTAAACTAACTTTGACAATAAAAACTTGTTTTTTTAATGAACATTAGGAAAATGCTAAATATCTTATTGTATTTTAACACCATATTAAATTCACCATTTAATTATCCTGGATTTATGCCAAAAACTTCTATGGCCCTAGAAAGGCAATTAAAGTGTCATCAGTAATATTCTTAGGGTTCAAATGAAGTATATACAATAATTTATATTAGCAGTCTTTATTGATATCATATTTAAGAAGTATCCTAAATGTTTTATAGTCTATAAAAACAAAACATTTTACTTTTCTGTTCTCTTATACAGTTGTCTATTAAACAGAATAAATTATCCTAAAATGAAAATTCCATGTAAAAACATATAAAGTGTTATATTATGTAATACAAATATGTTATGGATGCATAATATGCTTTGGGAACACATTTAAAGGACCATTTAACTCCTAGGGTCATTTTTTTTTAATAATTAAAGGAATATCATTTAGACTATCAAATAATGTGTTTTCTATGTGTGGTATAAAACACGTTTTTGGAATCATTGTCTTTTCTACTGGCAAAGCAATTTTTGCAGTGAGTAGGTCAAGACAGGAAAAAATAGATGACAAATCATATTCTGATTTATTCATTATAATTAGTCATGTCTAAATATTAAATAACACTAAAACATATATTATTAGAAATATTAGCAGTATCCAGCATTAATTTATAGCAACAAAGTAATTTACATGTCTAGTGTATGACATTTACCATAGATCCTCTGACTTTAGTGCCTTCTTGATCTTCATACCCAAACTAATGTGTATAACATTAGCTCATAGAGAGAGGAATTGGTTTGCCTTATCCACCTTTTTTTTTTTTTTTTTTTTTTTTGAGACAGAGTTTCGCTCTTGTTGCCCAGGCTGGAGTGCAGTGGGGCGATCTCAGCTCACTGCAACCTCCTCCTCCCGGGTTCAAGCGATTCTCCTGCCTCAGCCTCCCGAGTAGCTGGGATTACAAGCCCATGACACCACACCTGGCTTATTTTTTTATTTTTAGTAGAGACGGGTTTTCACCATGTTGGCCAGGCTTGTCTTGAACTCCTGACCTCAGGTGATCCACCTGCCTTGGCCTCCCAAAGTGCTGGGATTACAAGCATGAGCCATCACGCCTAGCCCACATTTTTACTTTGCTTCTGTTTCTTTTTCAGGTTATCAAAGAAGATGATAAAGTTCAAAAGTACCCATTAACTCATCATTTACATTAGGTATATCTCCTAATGCTATCCCTCCCCCCACCCCCTAGCCCATGACAGGCCCCGGTGTGTGATGTTCCCCTTCCTGTGTCCAGTTGTTCTCATTAACGGGTGCAGCACACCAACATGGCGCATGTATACGTATGTAACAAACCTGCACGTTGTGCACATGTACCCAAGAACTTAAAGTATAATAATAAAAAAAGTTCAAGAGTAGACATATTATTATACTGATTTAAAATATATGCAATTAGAATTAATATATAAATAAACTGACCTAAGTGCAAACATCAGCATTCAGCCTGTATTCATGAAATGCAAAAACTGGATTGAATTGCATCATTATTGGTCACTGTCCTTGTTTCCAGGCAGAAACGTTCCTTACAATAGATCAATTTTTTCTTATTTTATTTCATTTTAATTGACAGAACAATAGTTGTGTACATTTATGTGGTACAATATGATTATATGTGTACATTGTGGAATAATCAAATCAGGCTAATTAACATATCTAGCACCTTAAATACTTATCATTTGTTTGAGTTTAAAACATTTTAAACCCTTTTTAAGCTACTTTTAAATATACAATACATCGTTTCTATAGTTACCATGTTGTGCAATAAATCACCAAAATGTATACCTCTGGTCGACTTGAAACTTTGTGCCATTTAATGAATGTCTCCACTTTCCCCATCTACCCCTGCCCTCAGTGTCTGGTAATCACTATTCTGCTCTCTATTTCTACAGGTTTGGCTTTAGATTCCTCATATAAATGAGACCGTATAGTATTTGTCTGTCTATATTTGGTTATTTCTCTCAGTATAATGCCCTTTAGGTTCATCTATGTCAAAATAAATAACAGAATGTTCTGCTTTTTAATGGCTGAATTCTGTTTATATACCACATTTTAAAAATCCATTCAGTGACTGATGGGCACTTTGCTTGTTTCCGTATCTTGGCTATTGTGAATAATGCTGCAGTGAACGTGGGAGTGCAGGCATCTCTTTGGCTTATTGATTTCAGTTACGTCATATATATATCCAAAAAAGAGATTCCTGGATCATATGGTAATTCTATTTTGTTTTTCTAAGGAACCTCCATAATGTTTTCCAAAATGTGTGTATTAATTTAAGACACCATCTGTAATGTACAAGGGTTCCCTGTTTTCCACATTCTCGACAACACTTGTTGTCTTCCACCTGGTTGATAGTAACCTGTCTAACAAGTCTGATGTGACATTGCCTGTTTTTTTAATAAGGTTGTCTCTTTTTTTGTTTTCTAGTAGTTTTCTTTTGTATTTTCTATATTAGCCTTTTATCTGATATATAATATGCAAATATTTTCTTCCAATATCTAAGTGATCTCTTCCCTCTGTTGATTGTTTCCTTGGCTTTGAAAAACCTGTTTATTTGCTGAAATCCCATTTGTGCATTTTTGCTTTTGTTTTTGAGGTCATATCCAAGAAATCACAGCCCAAACCAACATTATGGAGTTTTCCCCCCTACGTTTTCTTCTTGTAGTTTTACAGTTTCGGGTCTTAATTTAAGTTTTTAAGTCCTTTTGGGTTATTTATTTATTTATTTTTTGAGACGGAGTCTTGCTCTTTTGCCCAGGCTGGAGTGAAGTGGCACAATCTCAGTTCACTGCAACCTCTGCCCCCCGGGTTCAAGCAATTCTCCTGCCTCAGCCTCCCAAGTGGCTGGGATTACAGGTACATGTCTCCACGCCCAGCTAATTTTTGTATTTTTGGTAGAGACAGGGTTTCACCATGTTGGCCAGGCTGGTCTTGAACTCCTGACCTCAAGTGATCCATCCCCCTCAGCCTCCCAAAGTGCTAGGATTACGGGCGTGAGCCACCGTGCCTGGCCTTGACTCTTATGTAAGGGTCTTCTCTACACTTTCTCTCTTATATAAGGGTCTTCCTTACATTTTCATTCTTCAACATGTGGATATCCAGTTTTCAAAAGACCATTTATTGAACAGACTCACCTTTTCTCATTGGATGTTCTTAGCACCCTTGTTAAAAATCAATTGACCATAAATGGAAGGGTTTATTTCTAGGCTTCTTATCGTACTCCGTTGGTCAATGTATCTGTCTGTATGCCAGGACCGTGCTGTTTTGAATACTAATGCTTTGTAAGGTATTTTGAAATCTGGTAGCATGATGTTTCCATTTTGTTCTTTTTGCTCAAGATGGCTTTGGCTTTTTGAGGTCTTTTTTGGATCCATACAAATTTTAGATTTTTTTTCTATTTTCTGTGAAGAATGACATTAGAATTCGAATATGGTATATTAGTCCATTCTTGCACTGCTATAAAGAAATACCTGATACTGGATAATTTATAAAGAAAAGACATGTAATTGGCTCATGGATCTGCAGGCTGTACAGGAAGCATAATGCTGGTGTCTGCTCAGCTTCTGGGGAGGCCTCAAGAAACTTACAATCATGGTGGAAAGCAAAGCGGAAGTGAGGCATCTCACATGGTGGGAGAGTGTGGAGAGTGCCACACACTTTTAAACAACCAGATCTCACAATAACTCACTCACTCACATCACAAGAACAGCAAGAAGGGGAAGGTGCAAAGCCATTCATGAGAACTCTGTCCTCATTATACAATAGCCTCCCACCAGGCCCCATCTTCAACACTAGGGATTATAATTCAACATGAGATTTAGTGGGGACACAGATCCAAACTATATCATATTGACTGTATTGAATCTGTAGATTACTTTGGGTATTATGGACATTTTAACAATATTAATTATTCTAATCAATGAGCATGGGATAGCTTTCCATTTATTTGTATCTTCTACCATGTCTTTCGTCAGTGTTTTATAGTTGTTAATATACAAATTTTTCAGTTCCATGGTTAAATTTACTCTTAAATATTTTTAATAGTCTTTTAAATGAATTGTTGCCTTAATTTCCTTTTCAAATAGTTTGTTGTTCATGGATCTTATTTTTAAGGTACCTCTTCTCCTCTGACTTGGCTTTCTTTCATACAGTCATATCTCTACAAGCAAGGTGAGAAACTTCAGAGACATCTGGGTTCTCCTAGATGTCTAGGAGACAAGCGTGTTCTCCTAGATTCCATACTTCTTTCTTGTAGACCTCACAGAAAAGTCAGAACCTCATATTTCCATGCACAAATTATCCCAAGCCTATTTTTCATGTTCCTGAGAATGCACTATACCACCAATGTGAGCATCCCTTGACCCAAGAATAGAGTCAGCTAGTGTGTACATGGACCAGTGTGTAAGGTAAGTGGACCCAGAAGGTTCATAAGTGGACCCAGAAGGTTCGTAAATGTGTAGGTAAAAAAATAATCATTGTTGAAAGAGAAAAGAGCTTAAGAAGCAGGTTGAATGCTAGTTTCCAATACTTAGCCTCATCGATTACACGATCAGGTAAAATCTGAAACCCCAAAAGCTTAATACATCTAAGACTTTCTGAGTTTTTATAAAGGTTTATTTGCAAAGTAGAAAAAATACAATGTATTTCTTAAATTTTAAAGCCTTAAATTATTTTCATTTTTAATTTATTTTACAATTGTAAATAATCAAACAAACATATGTTTTGTGGAATTCAACTTGTAATCTTGACCTAGACCCTGGAAATGATATGGAAAGACCTGTTTTTAGATGCCATAGTCCACAATAAGCATCTTTCACTGATTTTGTTAAGTTGGCTGATTTTGTAGGTATTTGTGTCTGTGATATCTGTTATGAATACGTATGTTCAGAAGTATAAAATGTTAAATGTATTAGATAAATATAGTTTACTGATATCTCTCTTTTTTCAATAGATTCTTTAAAATGAAAACAAAATTAAAACCATAATATTATAAGAGCTCTGGTAAAAAGTTGCTAGCAGCTGAAAATTTACCGAAAGCCAGAGTATGATAAGATGAAAAACAAAGCAAAACAATATTACTATAAATCAGTTGTAAAATGTAAAGAAAAGCAAAGTTACAGAAATTATAATAGGAATGAAACAAATATAAAGAGTAGTGGCATTGAACAATTTCACTCAAATAAAATATCTTTATGGAAAAATATCCATCATAAATTTTGAACATGAAAAGTTTTCGATATTGGATAAACCTGCAGAAAAAAATAAAATGAGTGAGATTAAACATATGTTGAATAATTATCCAAGAACCTCCTACACAGATAAATAGTATTAAAAATGAAATCAAAGACTAATGGAGAATATATTGTGAGTTTATTGCCTACATCTAATGAGAGTTTGAGTGAAAGGAAAATGTGAGCATACTAGGGAAGCAATATTAGATGAGTTAGCAATAAAAAATTTGCAGCACCAAAGAATAAACTAAAGCCTCACATTAAAAGTAAGCACACTTGCTTCAAGTGTAGAGCAGGATAAACAAAACATAATTTTCACTTATATTTTGTCCAATATTTACAGACCAAAAAAATTGTATGTTGACACTGTACTCCAGTTGGTAATATTTTTTCCTCACAGTAGTGCAGGTTAACTATTCTGAACCTGCTTTACATATATGTGTGTGTAAAAGCAAATTAACAACTTAAAAGTCAGAGGATAAGATTCAGGTTTCTTATTGTCAGAGAAGGCTGTTATAATAAAGGAAGGCTAGAATGAATCACCTAGTACTGAATTAGAGTTAGACACAATCAAATAACATGTCTAACATAATATATATGTATTAGTCAGGTTTCTCAAGAGGAACAAAACCAATAGGATATCCACATAAGAAGAGACTGATCATGAGAATTGGCTCACGCAATTATGGAGGCTGAGAATTCTCATGATCTGCAATCTGCAAGCTGGAGATTCAGAAAAGCCACTGGTGTAATTCAGTCCTAGTCCAAAGACCTCAACCAGGAAAATCAATGATGTAAATCACAGTCTGAATGCACAAGAAAATGAGATGAGGTATCCCTGCAGTAAGGCAGGAAAAAGAAAAAAAAGTACAAATTTCACCTTGCTTTGCCATTTGTTCTGGTCAGGCCCTCAATGGATTGGATGATGCTCAACCATTGAAGAGGGCAATCTGCTTTACTGAGTTCCACTGATTTAAATGCTAATTTCATCTGGAAATACCCTGACAAAAAGAGCGTTTAATCTTGCACTCTGTGGCCCACTCAAGTTGCCACATAAAATTAACCGTTACAATATATAAACATGACAATATAAAAACAGAAACTACTGGTACATGTGGGTTAGTATGCACACATATTTCCTAGTTTTCTCCACTGAGAGTGCCCAAAATAATAAAACCCTAGGAGCAACGAACATACCTATCATGCAGATCTTGGTTTCTAAACACTATTGTTTAATAAAAGACTATTCTTTAATAAGAGTTTTTGGACCAATGCCTGATTCAATGACTAGGTTAAGGAAACAGACAAGTGGGCCTGGAATATCTTGAAGCACCAGGAAGTAATACAGAGGAAGGAGGAAAGGAAGGAAGGAAGGAACGAAGGAAGGCAGGCAGGCAGGCAGGCAGGCAGGCAAGCAGGCAGACAGGCATACCAAAAGGACATAGAAACCAAGCCAAAGCTAGAACAGTTTGATCAACAAAATAGTATTGAATTGTAATGAAAGGTATAAAACACATACATATGAGTCAATAACACTATAAATAAATAATTGAATAAGTCAATTAAGTAAAGAACATGAAACAAACCTTTTTTCCAGAAGAATTCCAAATGACATGGGGAGATGGAGCTTAAATCTTGTCCCCCATGCCCTTGACAATGAGTTAGTTTTAGTGATTTTCTTTCCAAAAATAGAATAGGGAAAGAAAACAAAGTAAATTTACAGAAGACAAAAGTGGAAAACACTACCGTCACTGAATGATAACAGTTAATGTCACCAATAACATCATGTGTCTCCTGATATGATGTGACAAGAAGATCACTTCACTTATTTTGTATAAGTGCAATCTAGTCACGAGATGAGCAATCATTCCACAGAATACCTGACCAGTACTTTCCATGACTACCAGCCTACCAAGGTTATGATAAAAAAAAAAGAAAAGAATGAGAAACCGTTATAGACCAGTTAAGACTAGAAAAAAAAAAAATGGTAGCAAAATATAGTATGGTTGCCTGGATAGAATGCTGGAATAGAAAGAAGACCTCGATGGAAAAACTAATGAAATCCACATAATGTCTGAATTTTATTTAACAGTAATGTAGGATATCAGTTTAATTATTTTAACAAAGGCATATAATAATGTAAGTTTTTAACAATGAGCAATAAGTAAAACTGAAGAAGGGTATATAGAAACTCTGTGCTACTTTTGCAACTTTTCTGTAAATTTAACTTATATTGAAATTAAAAGAATATATATTTTCAACATTCAAATTAGACTAGACACCTAAAAAAAGTAACTATAAATATGGATCACTGGCAACACTAGACAATAGAATGCTATTTTCAATTACAAAATGTGGACAAACACCTGTTTTGGCCTTTGCACTGAACAGGAGTATTGTTTGTTGCTGTCTTTTGGTTTTTGGGTTTTCCTTTTTTCTTGTAAATTTCTAACCATTAATCTACTCTCACATAGCTTGGTGCCCAAAATAGGTGTGCCTGTATTTTTGTCTGTGTGTTTTATTTTTCACTCTGGCATCCGAAGGGAAGTAAATAACAAGTGTAAATCACTGCTGAAGAAATGATTTTCAAATTCTAATCCCAAAGAATAGAATGATAGTTTTAGATGGACTGCTAACAAATTGGACCCAACAATCTGTAAATATTCAGCATTTACATACATACATACACACATATATATATACACATATATACATATATAACTTTTCTAAATAAAATTATGTGAAGTTTTAAAAGATAAGAATTCTTATTCATGGATTCAATCTAGAGTCTTTTGAATAGAAAAAAATTTCCGCAGGAGAGCAGATCAAAGGTTTGGAAATAAATCCATAAGTAGATTTGAACTAATTTACCCATTGCCTGCTGCATTGCACTTCATGGTCTCAATGATTGCCAAAATACTTATTTACATCTAAACTCAAAAATAATAAAAATATTTAGGTTTGATGAAGTCGAACATTAAATAAACCATTTAAATATATGTTTACTATGTTTGCAAGTGATTTAATATATATTAAATGAGGTAAAATAATTTTACATCTAATAATCACTATTAAATATTAAGTCTTTTCTCTCATTCTTGGCTTTTGTATAATTTTTGTAGAGACAGAGTTTCACAGTTGCCCAGGCTGGCCTCTAAGTCCTGAGCTAAAGCAACCTATCTGTCTAGTGGTGCTTGGATTACAAGCACGAGCCATTGAATTACAAGCACAAGCCACCATGACTGGCCACGTGGTCACTTTTTTATTTTTATATATTTTTTGAGACAGAGTCTCGCTCTGTTGCCCAGGCTGGAGTGCAGTGGCGCAGTCTCAGCTCACTGCAAGCTCCACCTCTCGGGTTCACGCCATTCTCCTGCCTCAGCCTCCCGAGTAGCTGGGACTACAGGCGCCCACCACCACGCCAGGATGATTTTTGTATTTTTAGTAGAGACGGAGTTTCGCCGTGTTAGCCAGGATGGTCTCCATCTCCTGACCTCGTGATCTGCCCGCCTTGGCCTCCCAAAGTGCTGGGATTACAGGCGTGAGCACCACGCCCGGCCCACATGGTCACTTTTTAACAGACATTGAAATGCAAAGACTAAGCAGCACATCCTTAGCTAACAAGAGTTGGTTTATTGCCAGGACATGAGATCTCAATTTTGTTCACTTAACACCAGCTCAGTAGTATGTATGCCGAGAAATATAAGCTTTTTTCTTCAAATGAGAATTTAACTAACATGTCTTGCAAAGGCTTTTCCGTTTGTGTTCTACCAGATATAATTTCGTGTCTCTGCAACAGGTAGATGATCACTGTAATCTGGAAATGTGATGTGGTAGAGGGCATCGTCTTGGAAGTTACTTCCTGGAAAATTATTCATAAAGATCACCTAAATATTAGAGAATTAACCTATTAATTCCAAATGCTCACCACAATGTATAGGTATTTTCCCAAATATTTTATGTCTCTATGCAGTCTATCTTTTCTTCCCCTTCCCCAATCCTAGTAACACAATTTCTACCCCATTAAACAAAGTTTCAGTGAATATTGAGGTAGCGCCATGACTAAAATGCATACATTACCCTGATGTGAGCTTTTGTATTTAAAAAATAAAAGGAATGCTACCATTTTTTATTTAAAAATATAGAAAGAAAGGTAGGCCAGCATTTCAGCTTTTTCACAGTAAGTAGGCACGTGTGACCAAATGGTGCATTGTTTAAAATAGTCCCATGGTATTTTATTTTCTCCTCATCTTTATCAAAAAGCATTCTTCTCATAGATCCCCATACTATTACTTCAGCAGTTATTACTTTTTGCTCAACTTTTCCCAAACCAGTATATTTGATTTGTACACACAAGGGAATCTCCTGGCATCCCTTGTTTCCAATTTGAAAGCTTGGTATTTAATTTGCATTTTTAGTGTGGATATCCTATCATTTCATTTTCCTGAAAAAAACCCTTTGGGTTACTTTTTGTTGCTAGAAGAACTGCTGTGCCTTACATTGATTGGCAGTAATTATCCATAGGCAAACACCTGCATGAGAAACACCTGCAGTTACCTGAATTTGGAAAGTAAAACAGTTTTAAGCAGAAACTCTAGGGATAAGCAACAGCATTTCCAAACTGCTGTATAAGTAATTGAAGAAAAACGGGATTTAAAAAATCTAATATCGATTATATTAAAAAATCTAATATCGATTATATTTTTGTGTATCAAGATATGAAGTATGGATTTTTAGCTAAATGCTAGTAATAAAGCTGCAAATAATCAAATATAAGAACATAGACAGTCAAGTTGTTGATAACTTTGAAAACATTTAAGAAATATGAACATAAATGAAAGCTTTGAAAAAATACATATTAAGAATAATAATTTTTATCTTTCACTCATATCCAGATCACTGTATTTTTATACACTTACAATTTTTAATTATAAATTAGAAACTGGAAAAATCAATATAAATTATAAATTAACTGTTTAATAGAAATATTAACATGGCTTGAGGCAAAGTCTTTCAACACCTGCACACACATTATAATCAATAAAGCCATTTCTTGAGTTTGGAAAACATAGTTATTTTAGCATAGAAAAAGGAACTTTGAAAGTTTCAAAACACAAATGAAAAATTACCTTTATTAAATTCTGATTAAGTATGTTACTAATTTTCAGATAATGAAAGAATATCACTAAAATGATACCTTGAGTTCATTTGTCATAAGGTAGAAAATATTACTGATTTTAATAGAGTTGGCAACACTTAATCTACACACAGTAAGTTCATGTCTTTCCTCTAAATAGAATAGACTAGAAGAAACAATGTAAACACTAACAAAAATTGCATGTCAGAAAATCAATATAGGCAAAACAATCTTTCATCAAATTTTACATTAGAGAAACCTTCCTTCTATAGTTTGATTATCCTAATATCCAGCCTGTAACTTTGAAATATAGTTTATATATCAGTCTATTAGTTGAATCTGCTTTAAAATTCTGAGCATACTACAAAAAAATCCCCATAAAAAACCTGATGCATTTCTTTCTGAAAATAGAAAAGCAAAAAATGGCCTCCTGCTGTGAGTATATGATTAAAAATTGAATAACCAATAATGTGAATTAATCTTTAAAAACTTTTAGAATCAAATATGACATGGGTCATCATCATTCTCTTATAAATTCTGGAATGTTCCTGAATAAATTCACAGTCATATTAGGATAAGAAACATATTTTTGTATTAATACATTTCTATGTAGTTTACTAAAACATTTAATTGCCTTTTTATCTCATGTAGGTTACGGTGAATCCTCAGAATTCCAGAGCTGACATAAGTAAACATGTAATATATATAATCCAGTATTAGCATATGTAAATAAAAACACTAAACTAGAAATCAATTTGATATCTCCTTTTTTTTGCTTAATTGGCATTAACTATATAACCTTGATACTCAAACTGTGGCCCATGGACCACCAGTATAAGCATACCTTGGGAGCATTTAGAAATTCAGAATTTAAGCCCCATATCAGACCTACTACAGCCAAATATGCATTTTAACAAGGTCCTCTAGTGATTCAGAAGCATAATACAACTTTGAAAGCATAAGTATAGACTTTGTAACAAAATCTGAAACCTACAAAATATATAGTACTTCTCAAAAGCAAAGATACAGTGCTTTTTCACTGTAGTAGGCTGGATGGGTGTAAATTACATCAAAAGGTGGGCATATAAATTTTTAGTATGTGTGCAATCCATGCAATAGATTTATCCAAATGAAATGCAGATTCCATTTTTTCTTTGTTGGTTTTGACAGACTGGTAAAAATGAGCAAGTTTTAATCTTACTCATTTTATTTATTATTATTGTCGGAGTGTGGGAGATGTAAGACATAAAATAGTTGATTGAAAAGAAACATTTTTGAGAGCGATGAACTCTCAATTCAGAACAAACATTTTGTGTTTCTCCTTTCTTTAGGGAGCACAGGATGAGCCAATTAATGCAATTAGAGAAGACAAGCTTTGAGTTACTTACTTACACTCCACACAAAAGACCTGTTACAATTACTTTTGGCATTTTGTATAATTTATCATTTATAATTATTTGTTAAGTATATATTCATACACATTTAATATTATATATTGTACTATATATAAGAATATATATGTTTGACATTTTGTATGTTAATCTACTGTTAATCATCTTTTTAATTGCTTATTGAACAATTATTTACTATTAAACAACCAAATGTCATACACTATTTTAATTACATTACACAGACATCTCTAGATTTGTAGATCATATATTCTTTAGGGAAGACAAAAAATTAATTGAAAGCAAATGAATATAACAAATTGATAAAATATGTGACATATTCGATCATAAAAAGAGCTATAAAAAAGTTAAATATCAAACAAGATAGGAAGAGCAAGAATAGGAGTGGTAAATTGCAATTTTAAAAGGATAATGAAGTCAGCTATCAATCAGTAGGGAATTTAGGAGCAAAAACATGGAATAACGTGACAAGAGTTAGCATTGAAATATCTGGGGAAAAGAATGCCAGGCAGAGTGTGTAACCAAGCAAGGGCATTAAAATGTGAGCATACCTAACCTCGCTGAGCATGGTAAGAAAGTTAATGCTAATGTGAAACAAGAACAGTGAAGTATACAGTGGGGTAGCATCAGAAGAGAGCTAGATTGTGTCAGGTCTGTAAGCCTTTTTAAGGATACAGCTTTTGCTAAAAGCCATTTCAACTGCTGGGCGCAGAAACAATGTAATCTGATATATATTGTAAAATAATTGATTTTGCTGTTTTGTTCAGAATAGACTGCAGTGGAATTGAGCAAAGGAGATTAATTATGAAGCTATTGCAATAATCCAGAATCCAGGTGAGAAATCACAGTGGTTCACACTAGAAAAATAGCAGTAAAAAAAACAGTGAGAAATTAATTCTGGAATCTGGACATATTTTTAAGGTAGAACCAACAGAATTTACTGAGATATGGAGTACAGGCTGTGGTAAGTGAAATCATGTCCCTCCATCCGAAGTTGTCCACTTCCTAATCCTCAGAACCTGTGACTGTTACCTTACAAGATAAAAGAGACTGGTAGATGTGACCAAATTATTTTGAGACGGGGACTTACTTCTGGATGATTTGGGTAAAAACAATGTATCACAGCAAGTCTTATAATAAGGAGGTAGAAAGGTCAACGTGAGAGAGGGAGATATGATGAAGCAAAAGAACAAGAGATTTGAAGATATTACAATGATGGGTTGAAAGATGGTGATGGTGGAAGGGGCCACAAGCTAAGGAATGTAGGCAGCCTCTAGAAGCTGGGAAAGGCAAAGAAAACAGCCTTTCCCAACTGCCTCCAGATGGAATGCAGTCGGCTGATTTGTTAATTTTGCCCAATAAGGCTCACTTTTGAACTTTTGACCTCCAGAAGTGTTAAGTCATAGACTTGTGCTGTTTTAAGCTGTAAGTTGGTATGGTAGCAAAAGGAAGCTAACACATGGGCTGTGAGAGGAAGAGTAAAAATTATAGGAATATGACTTTTTTCAACTGAGATTGTAAATAGAAAATGGTCAAAAGTTCAGAAACTTTATTTGCTTTATTTGACATTTTAGGTTTGAAATGTCTAGTTTATATCATCAAAACAGAGATGTGGAATATGAAGCTAAATTTAAAAAATGGAGTAAATGAAAGATAATTGGACTAGACATTTAAATATGACATTTTTGTGCCTATAAGTGATTCCATAAAATTCCATAAAATTCCTATAATTCCATAAAACCCACATGATCTACCAAGGAAAAGAGTGAAGGTATAGAAGGAAACCAAGGACTGAACCCAGCACCAGTCTATCATAAGAAACTAAGAAAAGAAATAAACAGCATAGGAAAAATGAGAAGAAATATTTTCAATTGTATAAATATATATATCACTAGAATTTTTTCTTTTAATTAGAATTTAAAAAATCAACTGGCTACTTCCACTTTATGCAAGTTTTGAAAATCAATTTTAGTTAATATGTGATACTATAATTATTGCAACAATTTTATAAATTAATTTGAAGTCACTTTGTAGGGATTTATTAATTAAATATTATATTTAATCTGTTAGATTAATAATTGTCAAAATCAACATACAAATAAATTAGTATTATATTTTATTACACATTACTATTGTTAATTGTTAATATTACTTAATTCATCAATTAAATATACACTCATTATCCCTAAATCTCTAAAAATGCATAAGTTAAGTTATAGCCACATATTTATTATTAATGTTATATATGTATATGTGTTAAGAGGTTTTGTTCATAATTTTATTGTGGTTGATACTCCAGGTATCGTTATTCAAAAAATTGGATTTTCTGACTTTTTTCTTTATTATTCTCAAGTTTTCCAAACATAAAAAGAAAACACATTACCAAAACAAGTATTACTTGAAATACTCTCAATCCTCTTAGGTATTCTGTTATATAATGATATAAATTTGGGTTTGAGTATTATACATGGATTTCAAATTTTATTATACCCACATTAAGTCAATAAAAGCAACATTATCAATTTATTTTATGTTTCTAATTATTTGTTAGCTTTACTATGGTTGTAACAAAAATAATTTACAGCAGATGAATGTAAGTTTGACTTATTTTACAGATTCTACTAGCAGTTACTTCTGTACTACTTTTTTATAATTAAAAACTACATCATACAAATACATCAAACAGATTATAGAAAATTTTATTTGCTTATGTTCTATAGTATAGTATAGTTATATATACATACATACATACATATGCACGAGTCTGTATATGCAGAGTCCAAAAAGATGAGGTCAGTGCTGCATATCAGGCTGGTTTTAGAGCCGTTTATATAGGCAAGGTCTGGGGAAGTTTAACAGGAGTTCAACATTTCCCACACAAGATTAGAGCAATTTGATTGGTTAGGCAGTGTTTCACTTAGTAAGGGTATTTAATATTCCACATTAAGGATGTAATAATCAAGGGTTCTTATATCTCAGTCAAGGGGTCTTTTATCTCAGGCGCCATTTGGTCTGAGCCAGGAACAATAAATTTAAACAGCAGTTAATCTATAACAAAATATCAGTAATTAAAAGCTCACGCTCCAGGACTCAGTTTCCAAAATCAACCATTCTAAGGGCCTAATGACTTTTAGATAGCCCCTAATAGGCAGCCTATCCCTTTTCTTTCACACACATATGTGAGTATTAAATATTTCAGGTTACATTCATTGTTTTGTCAGACTTGCTTATGAGAATACACTGGTTCCCCTAATATTCTCAGGTAGATATATCCCCAATTGTTAGTGCCTGTTAGAACAAGATTGAGAAAGACATCTTTTTTTTCTATACACTATAGGTTTCTAACACATCCCATTGTGCTTTAGAGATTTCCTCCATCAATTCATTAAGGACCAATGTCAATAATTTTATAAGTCATATATTAGTTTTAATAAATATCTATAGAGTACATAAATCACACATATGTAATGTCATATTATTCAATTCGCCTGATGTACTTAAAAAGAGAAACCTGTTTTATTTTTTATTTTATTTTTTGAGACGGAGTCTCGCTCTGTTGCCAGGCTTGAGTGCGGTGGCGCGATCTTGGCTCACTGCAAGCTCCCCCTCCCGGGTTCAAGCAATTCCCCTACCTTAGCCTCCCGAGTAGCTGGGACTACAGATGTGCGCCACCAGGCCCGGCTAATTTTTTGTATTTTAGTAGAGACGGGGTTTCACCATGTTGGCCAGGATGGTCTCTATCTCTTGACCTCGTGATCTCCCCACCTCGGCCTCTCAAAGTGCTGGGGTTACAGGCGTGAGCTACAGCACCTGGCTTATCTTTTATTGTCTCCTTGTTTAATTGTTATTTCAGATGGAAGTATTCTTTTTCCTTCCTTTTTGTTTACATGTCCTTTCCTTTCCACCTTAGCTATTCTCCCGTTTGAGACTAATATGAGCTCTGTTTCTCAGATAATTTGAAATTTTCCCTGACTTTGTTTTTATCTATTATCAATAAGACAAAGAAAAGTTAAAAAAAAAAGGGGGGGGGCAAAGGTATGTGAGCAGAAGTGAAGTGGGACACTTCCATGTTGTGGCTTTAAAAGGCTTTAAAAGTAATATATTTCACTCTTTCATTTTGATTCCTGAGTGGACACAGATATTATGGTAAAAGCAGGAGTAGGAAACATGGATCTAGATTGGAATCCAAGTGAGGAGGGCAGAGCCACCAATTCGTCACTGCACTGCCTCTGGGAAGCACACTCTAAGAAAGTATTAAGTCTTAAACGTATTTTATTACGGAAAATGCCTGTTTAAGGGAAAATGATGAGGTGACGATATGGCTGGGTAGCCATCAGAACACAATATAAATCCTACCATGAGTAAAGGAGAGAGGGAGGAAAAGTTGGATGAAAGCATCTAGAATAAAACTTCAGATGTTTCAGCAAGATTTTCAGGGAATCTTTAGGCAAATTAAGCCTTCACAGGAGTCCAGTGTGTTTCTGATACAGGCCTGAATTAATAAGTCTCATGTATAGTCATTAACTGAGAGCAATCCATAGGAAGAAAAGCCTGGGCACAAATGTAGGGAGGGATTTCAGAGTAAGGCGCCTCAGTTATTACAATCCCATAGGAGGTAACCTGCCGATGAAGTCACACAGATGACACATGGAATGTTATAAAAAAAGATAAATACATTTCTACTGTACTTTTTTTTTTTTTTTTGAGACAGAGTCTCGCTCTGTCACCCAGGCTGGAGAGCAGTGGCGCAGTCTTGGCTCACTGCAACCTCTATCTCCAGGGTTCAAGCGATTCTCCTGCCTCAGCTTCTGGAGTAGCTGGGATTAGAGGCGTGCGCTGCCAGGCCCGGCTAATTTTTTGTAATTTTAGTAGAGACGGGGTTTCAGCATGTTAGCCAGGCTGGTCTCGAAATCCTGACCTCAGATGATCCACCTGCCTCGGCCTCCCAAAGTGCTGGGATTATAAGCGTGAGCCACCGCACCTGGCCAGGTACACATGTTTTTATCCTACAAATAAAAACACATTACTTCCACCTTAAACAAATGATTAAACTTAGCGATACCCATCGTGGGACAAATACATAGCTTTAAAAAAAGATGAACAAGTACTAAAACAAAATGCGAAAGCGGTTATTTAAAGGCGCTGGCATTATGGGTAATTTTTATTTTGTTAGCTCTGATGTTTTGAAATGGCCAGGTTTATTGCTGCGTTTTGATTAAGCACCAACTAGAGACATGCTTTACAAGATCACTCTCCAATACCTCTGCATTATGAAGGCCACATTATGAAGGCCATGAATTTTGATCCTGACGCCTTGTCTTCCCTTTTTTTGTTGTTGAGACCGAGTCTCGGTCTGTCCCCAGGCTGGAGTGCAGTGGCGCGATCTCGGCTCACTGCAAGCTCCGCCTCCCGGACTCACGCCATTCTCCTGCCTCAGCCTCCCGAGTAGCTGGGACTACAGGCGCCGACCACCACGCCTGGCTAATTTTTTGTATGTTTAGTAGAGACGGGGTTTTACCGTGTTTGCCAGGATGGAGTGACCTCGTGATCCGCCCGCCTCGGCCTCCCAAAGTGCTGGGATTACAGGCGTGAGCCACCGCGCCCGGCCTGTCTTCCCATTTTAACCAGATTCTGGGTCAACAATATGAATGATACTCTCAAAAAACTGAGATTTATCCTTTAGCGTACTCCATTTGTGTGTTGTTTTCAGTTGTAGTTTTCTTCTATCTATGAGAAATGCCTTTCTATCCTTACACATCTCCATTAACTCCACTGTATTTTTGGCTTTATTCTCACAAAAATTTGTCTGTACTTAAATGACAAAGCAGTCTTTTTCTTCATGTCATAAGTGTTTAACAACATAATATTAAAGCCTCCTGAAGTTACAGATGTTCCAGTACTTAATTTTTAATTATTTTTATATATTTTGGTTGTCTGTGAATGTTTGCTACTGTCTATTTTATAATACAGAGGTAGAGATCTAGAGCAAATGCTGAGTGAGGAAAATTTCTAGAACATAAGTTTTAACATTTTAATGCATTTGCTATTTTCTGCTATAGAATTATAAAATTAATGCAATTTCAATAAAAAACACCACATAAATATCTAGACTGTGGGTTCTATTTCAGTAAGAAAAATCACAAAAAATATAGCCTTATTTTGTCCCTTACTAAATTCCCACTTATGCAGAATGAGCTTTATGGGCACACATCATTAATATTAGAATATCGAGAGAGGAAACACTGTTATAAAATTGTAGAAGTTAAAAGGCACTGGATCCTCATATCTCACCTTATTCAAAACTCAACTCAAGATGGATCAAGGACTTAAATCTAAGACTTGAAACTATAAAAATTAAAGAAGTTAACATCAGAAAAACCCTTCTAGACATTGGCTTAGGCAAAGACTTCATGACCTAGAACCCAAAAGCAAATGCAACAAAAACAAAGATAAATAGGTGGGACTTACTTAAACCAAAGAGCTTCTGCACAGCAAAAGGAACCATCAGCAGAGTAAACAGACAACCCACAGAGTGGGAGAAAATCTTTCCAATCCACCAGACATAGGACTAATATCCAGAATCTACAAGAAACTCAAAACAAATTAGCAAGAAAAAAAATTCCCTCAAAAAGTGGGCTAATTACATGAATAGAAAACTCTCCAAAAAAGATATATAAATGGCAAACATATGAAAAAAATGCTCAACATCACTAATGATCAGGGAAATGCAAATCAAAACCACAATGCAATACCAACTTACTCCTGCAAGAATGGCCATAATCAAAAAATTTAAAAAAAAATAGATATTTGGCATGGATGCGGTAAAAAGGGAACACTTCTATACCGCTGGTGGGAATGTAAACTAGCATAGCCATTATGGAAAACAGTACGAAGATTCCTTAAGGAACTAAAAGTAGAACTACCATTTGATCCAGCAATCCCACTACTGGGTATCTACCCAGAGGAAAAGAAGCAGCACAATTCACAATTGCAAATATATGGAATCAGCCCAAATGCCCATCAGTCAACATGTGGATAAAGAAATTGTGGTACATGTATATACCCTTCGCTGGTGGAGGGTCCTGCCTAGATTTGATGGCTGCTGACTGACCAGGGTGGTGGTTATTGAAGACTGGGGTGGCTGTGGCAATTTCTTAAAACAACAGTGACATTTACCACATCAACTGAGTCTTCCTTTCATGGAAGCTTTCTATGCAGCATGTAATGCTGTTTGATAGCATATTGCATACTGTAAAACTTATTTTAAAATGAATAATGTAGTTGATTCATTCATTTTAACCAAAACGCCTTGTTTAATAGAGACATCATTCCCACTTCCAGGGTTACTTATTTCAGAAAATTCTTGAAACTTTTTTGAAATTTTGACTTTTAAAACATCATATATATATATATGATGTTTTAAAAGTCAAAATTTCCATCATATATATATATATATATATATATATATATGATGGAATACTACTCAGCCATTAAAAAGGAACGAACTACGGCATTCACAGCAACCTGGATGGAACTGGAGACTATTATTCTAAGTGAACTAATGCAGGAACGGAAAATAATCAAACATCATATGTTCTCACTCATAAGTGGGAGCTAAGCTATGAGGACGAAAAGGCATGAGAATGATAAAATGTACTTCGGGGATTCGGGGGAAAGGGTAAGAGCGGTGAGAGGGATAATTATGACTACAAATTGGTTTCAGTTATACTGCTCCGGTGATGGGTGCACCAAAGTCTAACACCGCACCACTAAAAAACTTATTCATGTGAGCAAATACCACCTATTCTCCCAAAACCTATGGAATTAAAAAAAATTTTTTTAAACTATGAGCTAATTACCAATAAAACAAATTAACTTAAATATTTGAAAATTATTTTATATAAAATTATGTAACAATTATGTACATTTTTAAGATTGATGTCTATTTCCTTAATAGATGTAAAAAATTGAAAATAATCATAAAATTAATAACAAAAAATGAATGTTTGTGAGTATTTATATCTGAGCAGCATTTATGTTGAACATTAAGGCAGAAAACCAGATGTATTTATACAGCTCATCCACTTCTCTTAAATTTTCATGGATAAAACAGACCAAAGAAAATAAGAATATAATTGATCTGAATAATGTGTTCTGTTGCATTGATAATGTAGATGTGTGCATGTATATGAGTTTGTGTATGTGTATAAATAAATTCAATCTACCATGGAAAAAATAATATTACCAGCTCGATTTTTAGCATATATATTTTAATAAAACTTATACTTTCTATGTGGAAAAAAAGGACTAACCTATAACGGAACAAACTTGAGAACCTTAAATCCTAATTCATTCTGAGGATGGCCAAAATCTAAGATGTTTTAAAAGTCAAAATTTCAAAAAAGTTTCAAGAATTTTCTGAAATAAGTAACCCTGGAAGTGGGAATGATGTCTCCATTAAACAAGGTGTTTTGGTTAAAATGAATTAATCAACTACATTATTCATTTTAAAATAAGTTTTACAGTGTGCAAAATCCTATCAAACAGCATTACATGCCACATAGAAAGCTTCCATGAAAGGAAGACTCAGTTGATGTGGTAAATGTCACTGTTGTTTTAAGAAATTGCCACAGCCACCCCACCCTGGTGAGTCAGCAGCCATCAAATCTAGGCAGGACCCTCCACCAGCGAAATCATTGACTCATGAAGTCTCAGATGATTGTTAGCATTTTATAGCAATAAGCATTTTTAATTATGTATATTCTTTTAGACATAATGCTATTGCACATTTGGCAGACAATATCGTGTGAAAATTATTTTATGTGCTATTGTGAATAGTGCCGCAATAAACATACGTGTGCATGTGTCTTTACAGCAGCATGATTTATAATCCTTTGGGTATATACCCAGTAATGGGATTGCTAGGTCAAATGTCCAACAATGATAGACTGGATTAAGAAAATGTGGCACATATACACCATGGAATACTATGCAGCCATAAAAAATGATGAGTTCATGTCCTTTGTGGGGACATGGATGAAGCTGGAAACCATCATTCTCAGCAAACTATCGCAAGGACAAAAAACCAAACACCGCATGTTCTCACTCATAGGTGGGAATTGAACAATGAGAACACATGGACACAGGAGGGGGAACATCACACACTGGGGCCTGTTGTGGGGTGGGGGGAGGGGGGAGGGATAGCGTTAGGAGATATACCTAATGTCTAATGTTAAATGACCAGTTAATGGGTGCAGCACACCAACATGGCACATGTATACATATGTAACTAACCTGCACGTTGTGCACATGTACCCTAAAACTTAAAGTATAATTTTAAAAAAATGCAAAAACAAAAAAAGAAAATTATTTTATATGCACTGGGAAATCCAAACATTTTTGTGACATGCTTTATTGCTTTGTTTGCTTTATTGCAGTGTTTTGGAACTGTACCTGCAGTATCACCAAGATATGCCTGTACCTTTTTCTGTCTCTCTCTATATATATAGATAAACGTTTTTATTCTTGATAGTGATGACTTTTGTCCTCTTCCTTTTAGTTATGATGATACTTTTAGAACTTACCAATTTTATTAAGTTTTTGAAAAACAATCAATCAATATTGGACTTTGTTGATTTGTTCTAATTTATAATTTTAAAATATGTATTTGTTATCAATTTACTTTCTTGTACTTTTTAAAATAAAATGTGTTGTTCTAATTTTTTGAGTGGGATATTAGATATACTATTTTTAGTATTTCTTATCTTCTAAGGGAATTTATGGCCATAAACTTTTACTAATTACTGATTTAATCGCTTTGCATAAGATTTGATATGTAGTATGTTTATTCTTATTCACTTAAAATATTTCAACACTTCATTATCACTAGTAATCTTGACTCAAATCATTTGCAGCTGTCCTGGTTATTGTCTAAATACGTGGGAGATTTTTTAAAAAATTATAGAGCATTACACATAGCTACAAAATTCCTGTAGTTTCAAATCACTTCTTAATGATAACCAAGATAAACCATATGCCAAAAAATAAAATACAGATTTAATATCACTTATCTAAAATGCTTAGAATCAGAAGTGTTTCAGGTTTTGAATATTTTTCAAATTGGGGCATATTTGCATTTATACTAACTAGTCGAATGTCCCTAATCTGATTATCCAAAATGCTCCAATAAGCACTTCCTTTGAGTGTTATGTTGGTATTCAAAAAGTTTTCAGTTTTTGTCACAGAATGGAAGGGGCTTCAGTTTTGGAATTTTGGAGCATTTCAGATTTCACATTTTTGGATTTGGTAAGCTCAGCATGTATGATTCAGTAAATTTTATGAGTATTATATAAAATATGCCCTATACCCATGAAATAATTAATTGAAAAAATCAGTAACATAAAGCTATATAGGAAAACGTCATATTTGGAAAGCAGCCTTTTTAAAAAAATACCAAAAAGAAACAGAAATAAATTTAGCAAAAGACACTCAAGACCTCTACAGTGAAAACTACAAATATGTTTAAATAAATTAAAATACCCTAAATAAACAAATAAATATAATGTGATCATTAATTAGATTTGACACTGCTGAGTTATCAAGATACATACAATTCACTTCTAGATATTTACCTGAACAAGGAAAATATTATGTTCACACAAGCACTTTTATATTAAGGCACTTAGTAGTTTTAGTCTCAAAATTCCAAAATTGGAAACAAATCAAATGTCCATTAAGAAGTGAATGAACAAACAAAATGGAGTCTAGCCATACACTAGAATAATGTTCAGTAATAAGAAAAAAAAGATGCCTTGATACGTTCAACAAAATGAAGGACATACAGCATTTTTGTGCTGAATAAAATAAGTCAGACACAACTATATGCTGTGTGAATCCATTTACATAAAGAGCAAACTAATATAGATTCAAAGAAGCAGATTAGTAGTCACTTGGGGTTAGTCAGGAACAGAGGGGTAGACCTCAAAGAGCCATAGAAATATTTTGCAGCCGATGAAAGCACTGCACCTTGGTTGAGGTGTTTTATTTTTTTCCATCGGTATATGCAGATGTCAAAAACCCAGATTTAAAAAAAATCTAGGTTAGTTGGTTTCAAAATAAACTTTGAAGATATGTCTTCATTATCATCCAGATTTCATTTTATTCTATTGTAAACTGAGTTGCCGGTCTAAATAGGGAAAGTAATTGGAAAGTAATATGTTTCTCTCTCATTTTTTTCCTTTTGGATACCAATTAGAGTTTATTTTTGTTTTAACTTTTTAGCAGATTTTCTACATTGCACTTAGTCACACTTTTCTTCACTTTGAAAAAAAATCTCTCGAGCTTTGTAATAGTTGTTGAAACTGTAATTTATTGTAATTTCTCATTTTGGAATATTATTGGTCATATTTGACTATTATTGGTCATATTTGAACAAAAATTAATTCTTATTGTCTTGTATGTTCTCTTATAAAATACAGCATTCCAGATAATGTGAATGAAAAATTCAAAGAAACATATAGCTCTAGATTATGTTAATTTTCCTGAGTTGATTTACTTTCACTGCTGAAAGGCAGATGAAGTAAAGACAGATTTTTATAATGAACTCATAAGTATTAAGATAATTTGATACTGGGTTTTGATTTTTGTGGGGGTGTATATTTCCACATCTCTATTACTCACAGAGAATGGCTATTAAGATCAAGTCCAAAAGCCTAGAGCTGGACTTTGTTGATTTCTTTCAATTTATAATTTTTAAATGTTATTTATTTGTTATTGTTTCTATATCATTTCTTTGATTTTTTAAAATAAATCTGTTGTTTTACTCCAAATAAGTGAGAGACATGAAAATTCTAATCACCTTCTCATCCTCAGTGGTTACTTTTTCTTCTTGGCTTTTTAGCCTTAGGGGAAAAATAGCCTTACAGACCAAATTAAGCTCTTTGACTTTCTTCTTCTTCCAGATACTGGCCCCACAATTTCTCACTGCCTTTCATATCTCTGAAAGCTTAAAACAAATAATATGTTTGTATTTTGTCCAGCTTTCCTAATTGTTCTCTGTGAAAATCTTGGCCTGAAAAAAATTACCCATTCATCTCCAAATGCAAAATTTCTTTGGATTTAATATTATCTGTAACCTATCATCATCCAGATTAGCAACTATTGACTATCAGCTTAATGACTTGAATTTTAAATGATCTTTATTTTTCATCTTATTTTAAACTATGAGGAAGTTATTTATAATACAGTATTAATTAGAGCACATTTAAGTATAAAGTGATAAAGAAAAGTATAAAGCACAATTTCACATTAGTTAAAACTCTTACAAGAAAACTCATATACATATATACATATATATACACACATATATATACATATATATATATATTCTTTTTAGAGACAGAGTCTCCCTCTGCCACCCAGGTTGGAGTGCAGTGGCACAATCAGGTCACTGTAGTCTTGAACTTCTGGGCTCAAGTGATCCTTCCACCTCACCCTCTCAAGTAGTAGGTACTATAGGCATGCACCTTGTAATTTTTTAAGAATTTGTTATATAGACAGGGTCTCACTGTGTGGCTCAGGCTGTTCTCGAACTCCTGGCCTCAAGCAATCCTCCCATCTCTGCCTCCCGAAGTGTTGGGATTATAAGCATGAGTCACCGAGCCTAGCCTCATATTTCTAATTTGGTAGTTATACTCTTTAAGAAAAGACCTCTAGTTATAGTATTCCATTTCCTATTTATCTCATAGGATTATTTTCATGATTAATTGTGATATATAGTTCCCATAAAATTTAAAACACAGTATAAACTCAAGAAATGGCAATAACACATAAAATTTTATAGTATTGTTATCACTTCACAGTGTCTTTAAATATAATGAGAATCATTTACCAAGGATATAATTTGTTTGCAGACTCCATTGATTGCTTTGTTGAAATCCATAGTTATAACAGAATGGAAGTAAATGCAACATGATTGCAGTTTTGGATCATAATTATCTGAGACACTCTTGGAAGATTGCTACCTTTCATTAAAATAGGAGAAAATGCAATAAACATTAGTAGGAAACACTATTAGCTATTATATATTTCTTTTTACATCCTGTGATTGAATAACTCTGAAAGAGCTTTGGCACAAACAGAAAATTTGCAGGATGTAACATGCCTCAGATAGCATTATACAAGCCAGCAGATTTGTTTCCAAATAAAAATGTAAAATAATGAAATGTCTGTATCCTATTTGGTGAGATAATACAAGATTCCAGTCTTCTAGGAAAGAATGATTTTTTTCATTGCCAAGGTAAAACATAACCACTGGAACTGATTTTACACTTATTTCACAAATCAATGACAATTCACTTCAGTAAGCAGGCTTCTGGAAGTCAGCCAATAAGCAACAGCAACACGCCATTAAACATACTTCCACAGTTAAAGGTCAACCATTCCTAAACGCTTTCATTTTTGAAAGTCTGCCAATCCCTGAACTTCATGTTTCTTCAAACCCTAAATAAGATCAGCACTTTCTGCGTTGCTCATAGAGACTGTCTTACAAGCCCATCTCTCCTTTCACAAGAAGCAACAAATTTTGCTTTTTGCTTTAGATAGTAGAGCATTAAAAATAGAGGCTTTCACTATTTTTCTAACGGCCATCACTTTGATTTTATCCATGGGAGTCTCAGGGAGAAAAAGTGTCCATGAACTCCTTAGTTTCCCAGTCATCCTTCAGATCTGCTTTCAGATGAATTTCTCTAACACAATTTCAGCACTGACTTCTTTCATTAATATTATCTTTCTTAACTTATTTTGTTATCTTAGAATTTATAAGCAAATCTTTTGTATAAATTATTTAGATCTTAGGCTCAGAAGAGCACTACTTGTAAATATTTTTACTCGTCTGCTTATATTTTCGTTAATACTTTTATTCTTCCTTTTTGTCACATAAACTTTTTACTTTAGAATAGTTTTTGATTCATAGAGAAAATGCACCAGAAAACATAGTACAAAGGCTTTTCATATACACCCTACTCAATTTTCCCTATTATTAACATATTAGCAACTCTAATATGGTAAATTTGTTATAATTAGAGAACGTATAATGATATATTACTAATTTATACTTTACTCAAATTTTCTTAGCTTTTACATAATCTTCATTTTCTGTTACAGAATCTCATCTAAGGAATCAATGTAGTCATCACATATTCCTAGGTTATTTGTGGCTGGGACAACCAATGCTTATTTATTGTTTGTCTAGTTGTATAAAAATCTTAAATGTTTGGATCAACATTTAATTTTTTTCTGTTGAATTTGTGAGGGTGAATTACATGAAGAGTGTGTAAAGACATAGATCTCATGAGTCTCTTATGTTGGCCCAAAAGACTAATATTTTAAATCTATTAATCTGATGACTAATTAATACAAAGGGAATTCGTGGAACTTGGCCTTGGGTCCCCCACCAAACCTTCAGAACACTCTAACCACAAAAAAGTCACTTTTGTTAGTTTGTATTGTTAGATTAATGTCAGTTGAGATTTTAATTCTAATATCACAATTTGCCTCTGCTTAGTTAGAAAATGGAGATTCCTTTTACGAGTATACAAGTTTGGACATTAGTGGCTTTCTCCCTGTGCGTTACGGCTTCATCTACAGGGATGTTATCTTCGTCTCCCAGGGGAAAAAAAATCCCATCCTTTATAAAAGCTCTTTTAAAAAGTCGAAATTCTTCACATACCTTGATATAAATGTAAAAATTTTATTCATATAAAAATACATAGACTAACAATTTTGACAGATTTGCATGTCATAAAAACATTTCTTAAAACCTCTAAAAAAGAAGGGAAATAAATACAAATGAGCTATGGTCAGCTTTCTTTGATTTACATCCTTAGTATATAAAGTGAAGATTTCCTCTGTTCAATACACTCTAGTGTTATTTTAAAGACTTTCTAACAAAAGTAAAAAAAAAAATCACACTTGCTCAAACCATATGAAAACCGTATTTCTTAAACTGTGCCTTTCTCCCTCTGTCATTTCATTTCTACCTCTCACTTCAATCTCTCCTGTTTTTTTTCTACACCTTCTTCTGATCTCTGTAAATAAGCTCTCCTTCCATTAGTCCTTCCCCTAGCCCCCAAAGAAAAGAGCAGTCTTAATGCACATATTCCACTAAGATTGCTGAACCAAATGTTAGATCTATACATGTTGAATTTAAACCCTGGTCTACAGCCAAGTCGAGGTCAATAATTAAAGATTATTTTAAACTCCAGGAAGACAAGACAGAAATTTGTTCTTGAATTAAGGATTTTGTTAAATGCTTATTTAATCAAATACTTCACTTAATTGTTAGCACCTTAGAGAGGAATGTGTTTAAAAGCAGTAGAGTGCAAAAAAAAAAAGAAAGAAAGAAAATTTTAATTACACAGTTATTCATAATTCAAATAAATATATTGAACAGTATGGTATGTGCCGTATAAAACTATTTCAGAATTCCTTCCATTAAGAATAAACAGAGGAACGATTCCGACTTGCAAATGTAATAAAGAAGAATTAATAAATGACTTTAAAAATAGATTTTAGAAAAATTTTAAAAACAATTCTGAGTGAAACTCAGTGCTTGAAAGAAAATAAAGCTTCTCCTCATTTTGGAAAGGGAGCTCTGACCTGAAATAGGCCCTTGATACGGAAAACATGTAGAATGGGAATTGACATTTTAAACACATGGCCGAATATTTTCAAAAGAGCATTAGAAATTAAACAACCTGGGAGTCATAATGAAAGTATGACTCATCAAATAAAATAACTGGCTTCCAAATTTTAAAAAAGAGGTCCTCTATTATCTCTGGATTGTGAACTTATGAACAGACATTCCTTATAATATGCAAGCAGAAGAGCCACTAGAATTACCAGCCTATATTTACTGAGAAACAAGAGGGTCACTATTAAAAATACATCAAATCCATGCTGCTGTAAAAATAACTAATACACAAAGATTTCTTGTCTCACCCTAAACACACCAAAGTTGTAGTGTACAGGTTTAGGTAAACATTAAAATATCTTCCTATATCTGTATCAAACCTTTTAGCACTGAACAGCTAATTCCTTGAAATAATGAAGGACCTAGTAGTAGAAATTTCTAGCAATTCTTAAATACATTCCCATCTCTCAAAGTCTAACTGTTGCCATAGAACCATTATCATTAGACTGCTCATCTACTCTTACAGTACGCTTTCTAAAAATCAAATATGTAGAAATCATCTTCCAATGAGGAAATGCCACATTAAAAATACTCTAACATATTCCAGAACATTTTTCCATATATATATATGATCAAATTACAGAGTACTTATACATTAATATACCTACATGAAAAATAACGCAATAAAATACAAAAATTAGCTGTGGTCCTATAATCTTGCCTATGGGCAAAAGGTTCCTTAGACATAGTTTAAAAAGTAGAGTCCAGATTGTGGCACCTATTTATCAAATTTCCTCAATATTCTCTTAACGCTGATTCTAGGCCAACTTAATAGGAAAAAAAAAAAAAAAAAGACCAGTTGTTCTTTGTGCCAGACCCTGTAATACATTTTTTTACTTTCTCTAAAAATAACAATCAAGGTCATAGATTTGCCTAAATTCTGTAAGTATTTAACAACTGTTTCGCAGTAGTGCCTAAGAACAAAATTGGTTTGGTCCGACCTGAACACACATTTTTTAGTGATAGCTTTGTAGAGCTTTCTTTGGTGTCCCGGTTGATAAACATAGTCAAAATTATTTACTTTCAAATGAACAGTTATGCACTAGAAACTCATTATTGCTGCATTATTCTTTCAAATCTAAAATCAAAACATTATAGAATTCATGAATATTTGTCCAGTGAAATGAGTTCCCCTATCACTGCACAGATACGCTGGAAAACCCCTCCTGTCATTCCTTTGTGGAAAAGTGACAGCTCGGCCGGGCGCGGTGGCTCACGCCTGTAATCCCAGCACTTTGGGAGGCCGAGGCGGGTGGATCACGAGGTCAGGAGATGGAGACCATCCTGGCTAACACGGTGAAACCCCGTCTCCACTAAAACATACAAAAAAATTAGCCGGTCGTGGTGGCGGGGGCCTGTAGTCCCAGCTACTCGGGAGGCTGAGGCAGGAAAATGGCGTGAACCCGGGAGGCGGAGCTTGCAGTGAGCCGAGATTACGCCACTGCACTCCAGCCTGGGGGGCAGAGCGAGATTTCGCCTCAAAAAAAAAAAGAAAAAAGAAAAGAAAAGTGACAGCACATACAGTGACCAAGAGATAAAGAGATAAAACTTTTGATACTTAAGGTATTCCAAGTTATCTATCCTGTGATAGAAGAACTTATTTTGGAGCTTCAGTGGCACAGTTGGTTAGCATGTGGCACTTATGTGCAAATAACTCATTTTACTATGCAATTTATTCAATAGTTTCATAAGTTTGTCCACCTATTTTATCATTTTCAATCATCTTCCCTGCAAATAATTGGAAAAGTTGCAGATAACCTCGTGATTCTGAGGCTCTAATAAATAGAATTTGGATAGTGGCAAATTTTACTACTTCTCTACGTGGACATAAATCGGCCTGTATGATCAATCATGCTTTCTTCCTTTTCCATTGGAAAGAATATGTGTTCTGTTCTAGTTCAATGATGCATTCTATAAATAACAATTAGGTCAAATTTTTGAAAGTGTAGTTCAAGTCTTCTACATTCTTACTGGTTTTCTTTTCTCTTTTACTAATGATTATTGAAAACGTTGTTGATGTCTCCATCAATAATTGTTGATTTGTCTTTTTGTCACTTAAGTTCTGTTTTTGCTGCATGTGCTTTGAAGAAGTGTTATTGGGTACATAAATATTTAGATTTGTGTGTCCTCATTAATAAATTCCTTCACTATTAGAAAATGATCATTTTTATACTTTGTAACAATCTGTGCTCAAAAATCTCCTTTGATATAAATATGGACTATTCAATGGAAATGATGGAAAATATTTCCATCATTTAAAATTTTAAGTATTCCCATCTTTTATTTAAAGGACATCACTTGCAAGAAGCATGTAATTGATTTTCCTTTCTATATCCAGATCTGACAATCCCTGCCTTTAAATTCAGTTATTTAATTATATTTTAGTTTTGTTTAATTATATTTTGTGACTATGGATATGGTTGTCTTTAAATCCACCATGAAGCTATTTGTTTGTTATTCATGCTGACTCTATATGTTCTCCCTTTCCCCTATTTTTCTGTCTAGTTGTGGATTAATTTTGTATTTTTATAATTCTATTTTATCTCCTTTGTTGACGTTAGGTATTATGACTTTTTATTGTGATATAGCATTAATTGATTTAGGCCTGTAATTCTCTCACTTGTTCAACTTCTCCCCAGACCCCAGGGGTCTTTTGGCAATGACTGAGATCCACTGAGGCGTGTGACTGTGGGTGAACTCAAGGAATCCTGCTAAAGATCCTACCATGCCAAGGACAATCCTCCACAACATAGAAATTTCCATCCCAAAATGTCAATAGTGTCAAGGTTGAGAAACCCACTTTGGCTTTTATAATATACATCCTTAATCTCATCAAAGTCTACCTTCAAGTGGTTTTATACGACTTCACATATAACATAAAAACATTAACACAGTACAAAGTTCTCATTATACTGTGCATACGGCAGTATAATCCTTTATTCCAGATAAGGGTTTACTTAAGTTTTGTCGTGTATTTTACGACTAAGTCTTTATAACCACATAAGACATTGTTATTACGTTTGCTTTTAAAAATTAATCATCTTCTGGAGATATTTACATAATAAAATTATATTTATCTATGTAGTTACTACCTCCAGAGCTCTTCATTCACTTGTGAAGCTCCACATTTCCAATTAACATCATTTTCCTCCTACCTAAGGAATTATTTTTGCATAATTACCAGTGGAAAATATTTCAATTTTTGTAGCTATGTATTCATTTGGCCTTTGGTTTTGAAACCTATTTTTGCTGGTTATAAAATTCTATGTTGAGATGATTTTTGTGTGCATGTGTGTGTGTCAGTTACTCAGTGATCTTGGTCCACTGTCTTCTTGCTTGCATTGTTCCCAAGGAGAATCTTGGCTGATATTTTCTCTTTATTACTGTACACTTAATGTGTCTTTTTTTCTCTGCCTGCATTTTAGATTTTCTGTTTACCTTTCATTTTAAACAGTGCAATGATTCTTCACCTTCATACTTTGTGTGCATTAGGTTCATAGAACTTCTTACTCTTTGTTTTTATGAATTTTATCAAATTTGAAACAGTTTTACCATTATTCCTTTGTGAAAGGAAAATAAATCTTGGGGCCCCAAAAATCACTCAAGTTGGGAACTGGTTATGGCAAACCTGCCTGCCATTCTATTGAGTCACCCCTCTGCTCACTGAAATAAATGGATATCTGATTGCCTCCTTTGGAGAGGATAAGCAGAAGCTCAAAAGAATGCAACCATTTTTCTCTTATCTACCTGTGACCTGGAAGCCCCCTCCCTGCTTCGAGTTGTCCCACCTTTGCCTCGAGTTGACCCACGTTTCCGGATTGAACCAATGTACATCTTACACTTATATTGACTGATGTCTCATGTCTCCCTAAAATATATAAAACCGAGCCGTGCCCCTACCACCTTGGGCACATGTTGTCAGGACCTCCTGAGGCTGTGTCACGGGCACTCACCTTCAATCTTGGCAACATAAACTTTGTAAATTAACTAAGGCCTGTCTCAGATTTTGGGGGCTCACACCTTCAAGTTGTTTTCTGCACCAAATCCACCTCCATCTTTCCATTGCTACTGCTTTCTATTGCTATATCTTCAAACAAACTAATCATTTCTTCTGCAATGTCTCATCTGTTATTAATCCCAGCCACTGTATTTTCTTATAACAGAAATTGTAGTTTTCACATTAGAAGTTGAATCTGAATCTTCTAAAAATATTTTGTCTATATTTAACATGCCCAATCTTTTCTCTAGCTTCTACAGCATATGGAACATAGTTATAAAACCATTTTTATGTATTTTCTACTTATATGATCTAGGCTATATTTGGGATAGTTGAGTTTATTATGTTTTTCTTCTTCTTATAAGTCATGTTTTCCTTCTTATTTGCATATATGGTTATTATTTCTCAGATGCCAGATACTGCAAATTTTACTTTGTTGGATGCTGTATATTTTCATATTCCTTCAAATATACATATATATTTTTTGATAAGGAGTGTCGGTCTGTTTCCCAGGCTTAATGTCGTAAGTTCATTAAGATTCCCCACAGTTACTTACAAACACACACTCACATTTGCACAAACACACACATGCATATTCAATTTTAGTTTTTAGAACAGGTATTTTGTACATTTTAAAATCTGGTTTTGGACTTCTCATTTTATTTGAAGAATGACTTACATATTGTAAAAATAATTTTTCATCTTCATGGGGCAGTGGAAAATTGTTTTGTGTAATACATCTATAAAGTACTGTGAAGAACTGACATTTAATTTTCCTAATGGAACCACAGGCGTCACCCAGACTCTGGAACAGACTTGTCTCTGTGTGGGAGTAAAATGTAAACCCCAAATCCAGTGCTGGGGCCAGTAGTCACTTTAAAGTTGTCTCACATAAAATAATACATTGCCACCATTTTAGAGTTTGGACAAGGTAAATTGTAAGGGAGTAATCTCAGGCATACAGATAGTCCAAATCTCCTTGTAGGTGTTAAGTCGATTAAAGAAAACATAATAAAACAATGATATTTACATTCTGCATTCTTATAATTCCTATCATCGGATAAGAAGTATTTTTTATTATTATTATTTTATTATTATTTCTGTTTGTTTTAAAGCTGAAATGAGGTGTACTATTTTTGTTCTTTTTTAAGTAATATAAATAGACATAAGAAGAAATGAAGATTGTACTTCTAGTATGCCACAGAAATAAACTTTTATCTATGTCATATTATCAGCTTAATAGTAATTGTAACTAGAAAAGTCCCATGTAAGAAAAAGTCAATTATCAAGTAATTTCAAGTATGATTGTTCTATTATCTCATCCTTAAAACTCCAATTCACACTTTTGGGTTTATTTTTTTCCCTCTTCTTGTCTTATTTTTTTAAATCTAAATTTAGCTCTGGCAGGAATTTTATACATGATTGTACAGGGTATTCCCGACAGGTTTATAGGTGTATGCCACAACACAGAACAAAATTCCCTTTCTGTCTTGAGGTTGGGATTGCGACCTCTGCTCTGTTGCAGTGTAACCTGCCTGAGTGTCTGCCCCTGAAGAAATCAACAAGAGCCAACATGAGCTACAGAAAGTCTCAAACCTGTCTCAAATGATTTTGTCACTGAAATCCTAAAACTAGGTCTCATAATGAGTCAGTCTGCCTAATTAAACCTGAGCAAAACATCATCCAGGTTTCAAATGAGTTAACTATGCATATCAAGAAACTCAGAAATTACCATCAATTCCAAACCCTTTTATAGAACAAACAAAGATTATCTCATATTCCAAAATGACACTCTGGACAAATAACTGTGTCTCACAATAAATAGAAATAGATGCATCTTTTTGAGACTGTGGCAGTATGTGGAAGTTCTTTCCCTCAAAGGCAGAGATGAAGGACATTCATTAAATGTCATGGTCACATCGGAGCAGACGTAGTAGTAAAGACAATGCATGCTGATTTGTAGATGAATTTATATTATTTTCTTTTAACATGGTTGGAGAATCACACCCCTGGCTAATAGGATTCCAAATAGCTGTCACTGAGCTATGGTTTCATAATTAAACAAGCTATAGAACATGTTACAAGAATTTAGATCTACACATTATTTTTGTGTGTATGTGGCTCAATTATTTGTGCAACTCTTTTCAGATATGAGTCAAAAGTAATTCTGACTATTTGACAGAGACACACTTCCTAAACGTCAGGAAATGGAGGTCCAAACTCACTCTATAAATGTATTGCATAACTGGTCTTGTTTATAATTAGTTGCAATACAAATCAGTTTCAAAAAAAAATCGAACATCTGGATTTAACTTATAACTATTTACAATGTATTGAGGAATTATTAATGTTACTAATACTTTAAGTGCTACTAATTTGACTGAATATTGGAATATGTCTTTAAAAATCAGTTTAGATTACCTAAATAATCTAAAGAAATAATAGAATTATGTCAAAGGAAATCACAATTAAAGTGGATTTGACTTCAGTGAGTGTGTGCCCAGAGAACAATAGAATCTGTACTTGTTCTTTTAAGAACATTTTAGTTGCTTTTTAGTTTGCTCTCTTGATCCTTTAAGTGGAGGGAATAATGGCCAAATGGAAGATTAATATGCTAATCTCACACATCAAAAATGACCTATTTAACTGATCAAATCAATTTCGTACAGAAAATGCTAAGGTTCCTTGAATGTAGACCCCACAAATTTGTACTCCAGGATGCCAGCTAATTACCAATCATATTTAAATATCTTAGAATTATACATCCACCTTTTTATTTCAAATTTACCCATATTTTTATAAGAAGATTAACAAAAATTACAAAACATTCTATTTTCCCCAGTTTGTGTGAAAAAGTGCTTGTTATAATCCATTATGAAAAGAAAAAAAATAAGCTAGTAAGATCAACACACAGGACTGGATTATCTGATAAGACTTTTACAAAATAGAGATCTTGCTTCACTAATAATTTCAAGGATACAGGCAATGGAGAGACAAAAAAAAAAAAAAAAAAAAGCCTGGTTGGAACCTCAAGGACAGCTTTCTACATCTTTTCTTCTCAGACATTTATTCAGACATTTGCTGCCCCATGTGGTATAGAAATATTTCATCTATAAAACATTTTATTTGTGGTTATTTTATTTCATTTTTTGAGATGGAGTTTCACTCTTGTTGCCCAGGCTGGAGTGCTATGGTGCAATCTCGGCGCACTGCAACCTCCATCTCCCAGGTTCAAGCGATTTTCCTGCCTCAACCTCCCAAGTAGCTGTGACTACAGGTGTGCACCACCATGCCCAGCTTATTTTTGTATTTTTTTTTTTTTTTTTTTTAGTTGAGCCAGGGTTTCGCCATGTTGGCCAGGCTGATCTGAAACTCCTGTCCTCAGGTGATCCACTCACCTTGGCCTCCCAAAGTGCTGGGTTTATAGATGTGAGCCACCATGCCTGGCCTATTTGTTGTTATTAAACATAGTTTATGTGACACTTTCCAGGAAACCTCACCATATACCTACAGATTCTGAATTCTTTTATTAAAGCAATCTTAAGTATTCCTAAGTAGAAACATCCTGTTAAGAATATTTTATAAATATAAACTTTTCTGATCAAAAATATATTTAGTCTACACAGAGTTTCAGTATCTATGTTGAGAAGGAAATTAGATGAATGAGGGATTGAGTCAGCAGTCTTCACTCCTTCTTCTTCTTCTTTTTTTTTTATTTTTTTATTTTTTTCAGACAGAGTCTAACTCTGTCAACCAGACTGCTGGAGTGCAATGGTGCAATCATGGCTTACAGCCTCCACTTCCTAGGCTCCAATGATCCTCGCACTTCAGCCTCCCAAATAGCTGGCACCACAGGCACATATCATTTTGCTGGCTAATTTTGTTTTTTTGGTTTTTATTTTTTTCTTTTGGTAGAGACAAGGTTTCACCATGTTGCCTAGGCTGGTCGCAAACTCCTGAGCTCTGGCAATCTGCCTTCCTTGGCCTCCCAAAGTGCTAGGATTACAGGCGTGAGCCACCGTGCCCAGCAGGTACTACCCATTTTTATACTAAATATGGGTGTTCCTGGAACTGTCATGGCATTGTCAGATATGTGGCTTAATATTTTACTGAGTTTATAATGAGGTACTAGGTGAAACCTAGGTCAAATGCAGTGCCATGTTGGGTCCATTGGTGTTAGCCAGCGTGGCTCACGTCGTGTTTTTCAGGGTCTTATTGGCCCCTAGCTCATGCAGCTATTTCAACGTTTCCTTTTTGTTAGTCATGTGAAACTACTGCCTGGAATTGTTTATCCTCCTGCAACTACCTTTTGTTATCCCTATTTCAAACCTACAGAGTCTTCTAGGGTATCATCCCTTCTACCTCTCTACATTTATTTAAGCATCTTTCTCTTTAACACTGTGATCTCCTTTAAGTTCATTGTACTCAGTCAACTTTTGTTCATCTCAGGCCTTTGCACATTGTCTTCTTTTTAACACGACTCTCTTGTCCATGTTCCCCTCACTGACTCCTGATCCTTCATTCATGAAGACAAATGTCTTCTATTTGAGATTCTCTCTCCACTTGGGCAGACATTCTCTGCCCTTGCATCCTGCTCTTTTTCTTTATATACCCAACACATTTTAATGATTACATACATTTGTTTTATAAATATGCATATTAATATTTAACTTATTATGATGTGTATAATCTACTAGAAAATAAATTCATTTAATCAAGGACCTTGTGGTTCTTTTTCTCACCTATGTAGAATAGTACCTACCACATTGTATTTTTGAATAGATAAATGGTTCAGATTAAGAATAGACACCTTTTATGGTTGGGTATAAAATAATATGATTTTAAATATATATTTTAAATAAGTACATCAATTTTAAATTAATTAGGCTTTAATTCCATCTAATCATAAATAGATGTTTTATTTAGACAGTCTGTAAATATGTTCCACAAGTTAAGCTAAATTAGATAAATGTATACCAAAATTAATTTTCTAATATTATAATTTCAGGCATCTGAATGGTTCTGAAGAAGATACATTTATTCAAAATATATATCAAATCACATCTAATGTGAACCCTATAAAGCTGAAGACCAGTAGCATTGCTTTTTTCATAGCTTTCTATGGTACAAAGAGAACAAATTATTTCTAACCTATTTTCTGCTCAGATTGGCATTATATTGTATCCTTACTACTCTGTGGAAGCCAGCTAATGTTCATGAGACATGACTGTCATCACAAGTAAATGGAATTTCTTCCTTGTTAGAAAAGAAGAATTAGATATATTACTCAATTTAAATTCTCTAGTGCTTGCTATTAACCATTCTATAGACTGAAGCATCTGGCTAGGTTATGCAGCTACCACAGACTTTAAAAGTTAGCATTTAAAAACAGATGACCAGATTTTTATCAAATTGTACCCTCTGTCCCCCTTAGTTTCTTCTTCATTGGAAATTTAAAATTTATTTCACCATTTCTGCAAAATAGTGTCACCTGTAGCATATAAATTAAGAAACAGAGTCAGAAAGAAGTTAATTGCCTTGTTCAGGGACACACAGTAAATCAATGGTATAATCAGTAATAAATGGATTCCTTGGTCACAAATAACCCACTCTTCTACAAGAACATAAAGCTAATGTAAATTAAACCTTACTCAGCCTAAATAATAAACAAGTTCTAAAATCCAATGTATTTTAAAACAGCTAAACCAAGTAGAAGAGGCTATTGCAACAAAACCATATTTCCTCTTTATATTTCAGAAATGTCTATGCACTATTTCTGATAAATTACATTTTCATTCTAAAAAACACAAAGAATGCATTCATTTTACGTACTTATCAGGTTTAAAAATAAAGCTACTTTCAGTAACCCTTATATAATTTAAAATGTATATTTTAATTTTAAAAATTTTTTGCCTTTTTTCAATTCAGTTTAATTTTATTTTATAATTTGATCTATATAATAAATATATTATTATCATTTTATATAATTATTCACCCCCAAGTCAAATTTTTATTTGTTGGGTTTTTGATAGAAATAGATGAAGAGACTAGTAAGCCTCAAAATTTGTCAACTTACTACTTATTAATGCTACATTTTTCAACATCTATATGAAGAAAGTATGTAAAAATTATTTTTTCATTCCAATATTTGGTTTAAACATCTATGTAAACAGCCTTTGGGGGTGACATGGTTTAGGCCTTTACAGAATTACATTTACTCTATTTATTTTACTGAAGTAGGAACTTGATGGGGGATTTGTCTATCATTTATATTATAAAGAATATACTGAGAGTGTTTCTTCTCCTTGAGTGCAGTGGAGAAGCTCTAAAGCTCTACTAATTTGTAGGTGAATTGTTATCTACAAGGCTTTGCAATGTACAAGGGGACATAGTCATTTTCAAGAAGAGAAGATCATATGAAATGCTTCACAGAAAATATTTCCCCCTTAGTTTCTGCATCTTTTTCTGAAAGAAAATGTTTATGATCATCTGCATGGTGCTACAAGATAGATAGATCACAGAAGCACAGAATCCCTACCAGCTTCTGAGGCAACTGTAAATGGGCAGGTGTCATCTCAATAGTGTTCCTATGACTGCTGAGTAACTGGAAGAGAAGACAAGACTAGGCTTTTCCACAGAAACTGGAAATCTCCATGATTCATAAAGGACTAGGAGAATGCAACTATTCATTTATCTCATCTTTTAATTAACTTTATTTTGGAATAATATAATTTCTTATTTCTTTTCCCTTAATATAGCTGCCATATATTAACAAATATAACCATTTAAAGACAACTGAAATTTCAGCTTTTGAAATTGGCACAAGGTTTCTAATCCATCATGATGATGTCTCTGAATACAAGAGAAGTATACCTATTTCTTTAATGAATATGAGACATAGTACTCTGGATAAGTATTTGCATCTCTGCATTCTGCTACCTTTTACCCTATTTATATTATGTTTCCCACAAAACATCTATGTATCTTATTAACCTCATTTATTTAAATTAATAATCATGGTTATATTATATTACATTACATTATATTATATTATAGTGGGTATCCTAACAGTATTTAAATTTTTATCCTGATGTTTTAGTTACCTGAAGCATAATTGTCATATCTTTACCAGTTTCTCCCTCTCAAATGTACTATAAATATCAAGAATTTTCCTGAAGTGGTAGTTTAATTCTGTCAAGGCATCTGCTTCTCTCAACTCTCCTATGGTGCTTAATTGCCTCTTTCATAAGGTTACAACTTCTAATCAAAGATAAAAATGGTTTTGTCCAGTTCTTTAAAGTATTCACATTCCTATTTGTCAAAGGCCATATCGCTAATTCTATCTCAAGTAATATGTCATTACTTAAGCACATTTTATCTTTCCTATCATATACTTGTAGTGTTTGACTCTCAACCACATATTTTCAAAATATTATTTAAATTTTTCTTTTTCAAGAAACTTAAATTCTAAGACAAACTTCCATAAAGTATGCATGTCTCTGTATTAGTAATATCCTGTTTGTCTTTTGTCAGTATAACCAATTTATTTGGAATTGTATTTATTCTCAATTTAGTCACATAACATTTAGTTAATATTTTATTAGCCTATATGCAATCTTTCATTTTACTCCTAAGTTCTAAATGTGTTTAAAGAAACAACATACTCAGGAAACTCAAAGGTTGCTTATCAGTGATACTCTAGAATGAGTAAACACAATGTCATCTCTTGTAGATGCTTATTCCCAGGAAGTCTATTTGTCTAATATTTTTAGCTCCTCATTTCCGTGCTATTTTTTCATTATAACTATACTGAAATTGAAAACGTGCCACTTTCTCTATGTATTGCTGGTCACATCTCATTGCCAAAGTGACAATTCAATTAGATTTGTGTCACTTTTTTCTTATGTTTAATTTCATCCATCTTTTAGTACTTTAAAATAGTCTGTGCCTAATCTTTGATTTAATAATTAGAGTTTATTAAATGGTGCGAAGTACAACTTTTCATTAACTTTGAATATTTGAGATGACTATCGTTAGTGGCTTGCTTGGAGTTGATGATTAAAGTGAAACAGAAAACTATAGAGTTCTTTTACTACCAAAATCCTCAAGACGCCATGGAGAATAAATAATGTGGAGAGGGGCAATATTAAGTCAGAACTGCAGCATCTCCATGAAACGCCTAATGATGTATTCACAGATATTGATCTGTTATGTAATTATAAATGAATCATTATGGTTTGTAAAGATTTGACAGTTTATGTGGCAGTTTTGTTCCTCTCAATTAACTGAACTTACTGATATACAGTGTTTCCATTTAGAATTTTTTTTTTTTTTTTTTTTGAGATGGAGTCTTGCTCTGTCCCCAGGCTGGAGTGCAGTGGCGCAATCTCGGCTCACTGCAAGCTCCGCCTCCCGGACTCACACCATTCTCCTGCCTCAGCCTCCCGAGTAGCTGGGACTACAGGTGCCCGCCACCACCCCGCTAATTTTTTTGAATTTTTTTAGTAGAGACGGGGTTTCACCGTATTAACCAGGATGGTCTCGATCTCCTGACCTCATGATCTGTCCGCCTCGGCCTCCCAAAGTGCTGGGATTACAGGCGTGAGCCACCACGCCCAGTCTAGAATATATTATTAAATAAAAATTTCATATCTTATTTGCCTACATATGCAACATATATTTCAATTGCATACTTTAAGTATTTCTGAAAATAAGGACATCATCAAGGAAATACAAGATTATTTTAACATACATCACAAATTGGTATAAATGTATTCTTCTGTCTGACGAAGCTTTTGTGGTCTTCTATTAACATTTTACTAAGAGGTGCTATATAATAGGCTTCCAGCTCTCCAGCTACAGAAGTAATATTTTTTATGTAGATAATCAAGAAAAATAACAACTTAACTACCCATTTCTTTAGTCTCATGAGAAGCCTGAAACACCCAGGTAGCAGAAAAAAGAATGATGGAAAAGTATTATGCTGTCTATGAGAAAGCCTTCTACTTATAAATACTAAGAACTCTAAACAGAGACAAATCATAAAAGCTGATTTTTGCAAATGTGGCATTAGGTGTCACAGTAAGAGGTTCTACTAGCCTTTCCACATCTTGCTTCAACAGACAAGATTACTGTCTATTCCAAGAATATTATGTATTGATTAGCAATACAGAGTATATTACATATTGTTTAGGACAGGATCCCAATCTCACATATTGTTGGTCCCCAACCGGTATACAAGTGAGTTACAAAGAAAACATCACTCCAAACTCAAAGACCAGCTGCATCTCAGTGAGGTGGGATATAAGTTTAGTTTATGATTCCCATGAATATCAGTTCACTGCCCTTATTTTTCTGGAAATTCATTCTTTGAATGGAAGTCAGTTTCTGTGGCATACTAAGAGACTAAATGTTATAATCAATAGGGACTTCTGAACCCACTTTCATTATCAACAGTCACACACTCAAATACTTTCATGAATAAGTTATTACAGAAATACAGGAAGCTCCTAGCCAGAGATCTATTTTATGGAGCATTTTAGAAACTGCAGAACATATATTTATATTTAACATATTATTTCTTAATATCGTGCCCCCAAATTAAATTAATCTGTGTGTGGTAATCTGTAATTATTTTAGGCATTGAGTCTTATAGTACATGTTAAAAAATATATCAGATAAGAAGAAAAAATATTTTCATAAAGTTCCAACATTTCAAAGATTACCCTGCACATAAATTATTTAACATTTCATCTTAATGTGAAATTGATGTTGATTTGATTAATTCTCCTTCACCTTTTTAAAATTGTGCCTTATAGAGCCTACCAAAAGTGAGATTAAAGACAAGTTAGTGAACATTTTTTTTGGCACACAACTACCTGGGAGGTGTTTTCAAAAGAACACACTCAAGTAATAATTGAGATTCTATCATGCAATCGTTCCCTTTAGTCAGGCCAAGGTTTCCTTCTCCCCTTTAAATGATAATAGTAACTACTTAAATCAAAATGAATTTCTACAATAAATACATATGTTGCAATATTTTGCAACGCTGATGAAGTACATTGTGTTTGATCATATGGACATATGATGCAGAAACTTTATTTATACCTACAATTCCTAGATAAAACTTTTGCCCTCATGAAAGTAAGGCCTATATAGGGATATTCTGTAGAAGGTTGTTAATAAAGACAAGAATTTCAGAAAAAAAAATGTTCCTCAAAATTGAAATAGACTAACCTGTGAAATATTGTTGAACTAGAAAATAATGCATTTTTAAATACTAAAGGAACTAGACCTATGAATAATGGCACTGGTAAGTTTTAGAATCATTATATAGATAATGTTTAACAAATTGCAAAAGGACAGGAATTGGAGCACACCAAGAAATATTCATATTGTTACGTGCATATATAGTAAACACATGCAGCCTGGATGTGAGATATGCACATCAGCTTCAGAAAAAGGATTATACCTAGAGTAGGTATTTTCAAAATTGTATAGAATGGAAAGAAGCTGACAGTTTTAATATTTTTAATATTATTTCAAACAAGGTTTACTTCAAAGATTTGATATCTCCTACATGATGATATTTATAGAGTATAAAATCATTTTTCTCTATGCTTTTCTCAGGGTTGAGATGTTTAAAATATATATGTATTGTGATAGACAAAATAGTTGTCCCCAGAAGATATCTGTATTTTTTCAGAACTCTCCAGTAAAAGAGAGACTTATTGTAAGAGATTGTCTCTTGTGATTATGGAGACTGAAAAGTTCCATGTTTGCTCTTTGCAAGTTGGAAAGCCAGAAAAGCTGGTGACATATAGTTCAAAGCCTGAGACCTGGAAAGACAATAGTAGAGATTCCAGTCTGTGTCGAAGGCCTGAGAAACAGGAGTGGCAGGAGAAGATTGATAACCCTGCCCAATCAGTCAGGCAGAATTAATCCAGCCCTTTTCTACCTTTTTGTTCTATTTAGGCTCTCAATGGACTGAATGGTCTCCACCCACACTGGGGAGGACAATCTGCTTTATTTGGTCCACCAATTTGAACACTAATCTCTTCTGAAAACACCATCACAGACACTCAGAAATAATGTTTAACCAGCTGTCCAGGCATCCCATGGTTCAGTTAAGCTGACACATAAAATTAACCTCATAATGACCAAGTTTTAATCCCTGAAATTTGTGAATGTATTCGTTTACATGGCAAAAGATACTTTTCAGATGTGACTAACCGAAGAATTTTTAAATTGGCATATTATCTTATATAATCTGGGTGAGCCCAATATAATAAACAAAGGCCTTATAAGTCAGAATACATCAAAGAGAAAGATTTGAATATGCTATGCTGCTTGCTTTGAAGATAAAGAAAGGTGCCACTAGCCATTGAATGCCAAGTAGCCTGTAGAGGCTCGAAAATGCAAGAAAAGAGATTCTTTTCTAGAATCTCCAGAAGGAAAGCAACTCTGCTGACACCTTACTTTAAGCCCAATGAAAGTTTGGACCTGCAGCTCTGTAAAATAATACATTTATGTTGCTTCAAGCAGAGTAAGTTTGCGTAAATTTGTTTCAACAGCAATCGGAAACTAATATATACATACATAATATACATAATTATACATACACATGATACTTTAAATTCAGTAGTTTGTTTTAAGCTTAGATTTTAATAGAAGATTTAAAAAGAAAAAGAATTTGTCAAAAACGCACAGATGAACTCAAACTGTTCATAATGCTAACAGCAAATAGCCAAAGACCTTATAGGTAATAGCCAGAAATGACATTTAAATTTCAGGAAGCTAGCTAGCAGTTCTTGTTAGTAGAAACAAAAGAGAGAAAGTAAAAACAAACATTGAAAGTTATCTTATTCTAATTGAGTGTTAACATTTATGAACATAATAAAAATAAAACAGATTTTGAAAGCAGAAAATATGGAAACACAAATAAACAATATAAAACCTATTATTTGACGTGGTTTGAAAAAGTCACTGAAAATAATTTATCCTACTCTTTAAAACTAAAACCAACCACCAAACATACATACCTCATGAGATTTTTAAAAAATGAAAATAAATAAAACCTTTTACTTCAAGGAAATCTGCATAAAGATCCAAGTACTCCTCTCCTATGATGAAACTAAAAAGCTGTAATAATTAAATATCATTGAAATCAAACTGAATGTTATAAAATTAATTTTAAAAGTCATGATACATATTTATGTATGATAAAAAATGTTTCTTTTTTATTGACCAGTTTACTATGACATTTGCAAAACATTTTTAATAAAATCATGTGGAAAGATTTAATAGAACTGTGCTCTAAAATAAGCATGGAGCAAGTTCTGTATTATTATTGATGTTTTCCAACATGCAGATTCTTACACATGGAATCACTGGTAAATTTGGTGATCTGTCATACATTGTCATGGTTAGCTGATGAGGCTCTGCTTATTAAAACATGCTTCTCATATCAATTATTTTTTCTGCCTTTACAAAGTAGCCAAGTACCTTGATTTGTCTGTAAATGGTAGCCATTCAACATCGTATCCATTTATGTGACTTTATGTGATTTTAATTGAATATCCCAGATACTATTTAATTTACAGTATATATATACACACACTGTATTATATACATATATAATATGTATATAATATATGTATATATTTCTATATGTATATATGTATATATTTGTATATTTGTATACATATACTATATGTATATATTATATACATATATTATATACATATATGTATGTGTATATAATACATATATTATAATGTATATATAATTATGTATAATATAATATATTATATTATAATATAATATATATTATATATATTATATATACATAATATATATTTATATATACATGTATACATATATAATATATGTATATATTATATATTTATAATTATATATATTATATATAATTATGTATGTATAATATGTATATGTATTATATATGTGTAATAGGTATATAATATATGAATATATGTATATATACACACAATTTGTGTATATATATGTATATATACACACACACACATTTGTGTTTAAGATAAGCAATGGAACACACCTGAGATTTCAATTCTCAAACCTACGAAGAGTACAAGAAGTAGATCCAAAAACTACTTTTCCAAATCCAGTGAGTAGCATTCTTTGCAATGTTTGATCATGAAGCAAAGTTACTCGAATATGCTATTAAGAAAAATGATGAAAACTGGTTAGAAGGCAGCTTAAACTGTTTTCCATAATTAGTTCAGAGACATTTTAATTTAATTTAAATTTTTATATTTTTGAAGGAAATTTTTTAAAGAAAATATATAAAGGAAAAACACACAAATAACAAGTACAGATTATACCTAAATTTTCTGGAATTGAACACACTCATGAAATCAGGAACTGGGGGCGAAAAACAGGCACAGTATTACCTATTCCATAAGAGTCCACTCATGTCCCTTCAAGTTGCAGCATGCCCTCAACACAAGGGTAATACACAAGACCTTGACTGTAGTTGATAGATTAATGTCACTGCTTTTAGGCTTACCATAAGTGGAATTACATACTATGTTATTGACTGTGCCCCGTTTCTTTTGCTCAATATTTTACTTACTTATAAAAATTATCTCCATTGTTTTTCATATATTTAATTACTTTACTTTGTTGTCATATAGCAGTGGCTCTTAACTGAAGGGGATTTTGATTCCTATAAAATATTTGACAATGTTTGGACCTATTTCAGGTTGTAATAACTGGGAAGGTAATGCTACTGTCATCTAGTAGGTAGAAAAATCCTACAATATACTGGACAGCCTCCTACAACAAAAATTATTCAGCCAAAAAGATCAACTGTTAAGAAATGCTTCTTTATAGAAATACATTCATGATTATATCACAGTTGATTGATCCATTTTATTGTTAAATATTTGGATTGATTATACTTTGAGACTATTCTAAATAATGCAACTATAAACATTTTTGTAGCTGTGTTTTGGGTATTTTACAATAGAATTTACCTGGAAGTCAATTAAAAATAGCTCACTAGAAAACATTTTAATACAGTTCCAAATAGCCAATAGGTAAAATAATAAATTAAAAGATAAAAGGGACAATTATATTGAAAATGTATTAGTGCATTCAATATTTTTGTTTTGCTAAGTGTGCAAATAAATATTCAATAAATTTAAATATGTTTTGAGGAAACAATACATTTAAAAAGCAGGTATTTCAACACTAAAATTTAGTAATTTAGATGCTCCAATAATCTCAAAAATTCTAAATTAAATACCATCTTTAAAGTTATCTGTGGATAATAATATATTTGAATTTTATTACAAAGCATACAGAAGATAGATTTTATATTATTTTCATCATATTTCAGACTAATTTTTTAATGAATTTATTTCTAATTTATCTTAATTTTAAGAATCAAATATATTTAATTTTAAAGAGTTTCAATTTTAAGTATTGTACATGTTTATGATACACTCCCCCAATATCCCATACATTACTAAAATTAATAACTAAAATATAATGGGGAATAAAAGGCAATACTTTTCTAATGTTGGTCATATTACCCCAGAATTTTTCTTCAATGCATAAATCAAATGGGTTCTTTCCAACACTTTTTTAAAATTATCCCAAGCAATATATTTATTTTTTGAATTGTTATATTTTGAAATCTACAATGATTTATTTTACTTTTAGTTATACTGACTTTGTAAGTATTTCTATACCACGTCATATACATTTTTTAACAATTTGTGACATATTGTCATCTTAGATAATCTCAGCCTTTAGAAAATGTTTGGCAAATACTGAATGAATAAACTATCTATCCGATCTTTGACAAACCTAAGAAAAACAAGCAATGGGGAAAGGATTCCCTATTTAATAAATGGTGCTGGGAAAACTGGCTAGCCATATGTAGAAAGCTGAAACTGGATCCCTTCCTTACACCTTATACAAAAATTAATTCAAGATGGATTAAAGACTTAAACGTTAGACCTAAAACCATAAAAACCCTAGAAGAAAAACTAGGCATTACCATTCAGGACATAGGCATGGGCAAGGACTTCATGTCTAAAACACCAAAAGCAATGGCAACAAAAGCCAAAATTGACAAATGGGATCTAATTAAACTAAAGAGCTTCTGCACAGCAAAAGAAACTGCCATCAGAGTGAACAGGCAACCTACAAAATGGGAAAAAATTTTCGCAACCTACTCATCTGACAAAGGGCTAATATCCAGAATCTACAATGAACTCAAACAAATTTACAAGAAAAAAACAAACAACCCCATCAAAAAGTGGGTGAAGGACATGAACAGACACTTCTCAAAAGAAGCCATTTATGCAGCCAAAAAACACATGAAAAAATGCTCACCATCACTGGCTATCAGAGAAATGCAAATCAAAACCACAATGAGATACCATCTCACACCAGTTAGAATGGCAATCATAAAAAAGTCAGGAAACAACAGCAACAGGTGCTGGAGAGGATGTGGAGAAATAGGAACACTTTTACACTGGTGGTGGGACTGTAAGCTAGTTCAACCATTGTGGAAGTCAGTGTGGTGATTCCTCAGGGATCTAGAACTAGAAATACCATTTGACCCAGCCATCCCATTACTGGGTATATACCCAAAGGACTATAAATCATGCTGCTATAAAGACACATGCACACGTATGTTCATTGCGGCACTATTCACAATAGCAAAGACTTGGAACCAAGCCAAATGTCCAACAATGATAGACTGGATTAAGAAACTGTGGCACATATACACCATGGAATACTATGCAGCCATAAAAATGATGATTTCATGTCCTTTGTAGGGACATGGATGAAATTGGAAATCATCATTCTCAGTAAACTATCGCAAGAACAAAAAACCAAACACCGCATATTCTCACTCATAGGTGGGAATTGAACAATGAGAACACATGGACACAGGAAGGGGAACATCACACTCTGGGGACTGTTGTGGGGTGGGGGGAGTGGGGAGGGATAGCTTTAAGAGATATACCTAATGCTAAATGACGAGTTAATGGGTGCAGCACACCATCATGGCACATGTATACATATGTAACTAACCTGCACATTGTGCACATGTACCCTAAAACTTAAAGTAAAATAATAATAATAATAAAATAAAATAAAAATATCTGGAACTGGAAATTCCCAGGAAAATCATAAAAAAGAAACTAGTTATGAAAGACTGGAGACCTTACTTCTAAACCACTCCCACTGAACCAGCCAAGAAGAGATTATCAGCTTTTGGCACAATTCTACATTTCTCACTTTAAGCTAGAAGCAAAAGTATTAAATTTTATTTACCTCTAATAGTTGTGCAATTTGTAAACATGGGAGAAGACTTTATTTGAAAGAAAGTATTGTCAGATGAGTAGTGCATTCAACCGGCAGCAAAGATTTCTACATCCAGCATCTTCACTAGTGATTCATAGTGCAGTCCTAGCAACTTACTCTTTCCTGAATGTTGTTTGCAAAACAAGGTTATCAACCATTCGGATATCTTCAGAAAGATGCAGCATGGGAACCAACACTGGGGTCCTCCATGGGTGATGGAAACTTCTCTCCAGTTTATAAAGGTAGTCCCCCCACCATCATTTGAGCCTTTACAAAATAAATGAAGGCTATGCACCCCCAAAAAAAAGAATTATCTTTTCATGACATTTTAAAGTAAATATTGGTGTATTGTTAAAAATTTGGGTGCAAGAGTTTAAATGAATGTCTATTTGGAATATTTTCAAAATGTGGAGTCAATATGTAATTTTCTATTTCTTTTTGAGAGCTCTAGTTTTAGTTGGTTTCCTTGTTTTTCTTGTATCTAACATCAAAAATAGGAATATGTTAAACATGTGAGAAATGCTGTATGCCATGGTAACTAAGATTTTAACCTTCCTATGACAAGTTTCAAGTGCTGTCACACTAAAGCCACTAAAGCTCAGTTAGTTTTACAAAACTAATGGTGCCAAAAGCTAGAAAAATAGCCATTCTATAAAAAATAAATTTCAGCAGCTGTGATATAAACTATAAACCAATAGTCATTTTTAGCAAATTTGGCAGATGTAAATGAGAGAAGAAACTGTAGCTAAATTTCTGACAATTACACACAAAATATTTACACTTTGAGAATGTCAACATTTATAAAATTCTTCATGTTATATAACATTTATTTTATTTTGAATTGGTAATAGTTTTAAGTTTTTTTATAACTAGTTTGCTCTACTATAGCTTTTTAAATGTGCACAATATATAGTCTAAGGAATGTTGAAAATACTGATATAACAAAGTTTGAAGTGACAACTCAAGCTTAAGACAACTTACTTTTAATTTCAGTTTAATTCTTTTAGAAACCTTTATGTGCTTAGTGATGATTATTATTTATTTAAGGGACAAACAGATTCTGTCTTTCAACATGAAAACAGTAAATAATTTAGGCTTTTGGGAACATTCAATTTCTGTCACAAATATTCAATTCTAAAACCATAATGTGGAAGCAGCAATAGGCAATATGTAAACAAATAAGTTGGCTGTATTACAAGAACATTTTCTTTATAAAAGCAACTGATGTGCAAGATTCGGTTTATGGGTCATAGTTTGCAAACCCCTGATTTAGATCATGTCATATATTTTATTGTTATACAACCAGTAGGTGAGTTTCAGAAATGATTTATGATCCTTCTTTTAGAAACATTCCATACTAAGGATGTTTCCATTTAACATTTCTACAAAAATAATTCAGGAATGCACTACAAATGGTTAAATAAATGTATTGATTACTGTAGCTGGATATTTTTTCCAAGGGAATAAAACTATACTAAAAATAATTTGAGAAAAATAAACAGAGAGGTTATTAATTTAAAAAGAAAGTATTTTTTTCTGCCATAAACTTGATTAATTCAAAATTATAATTGCAGAGAATATTGAAACAGAAAGAAAACCTTCTTTTTCAACAAACAAACAAACACAGCCAGGGCCTTTCAGTTTCTAGTCTAACACATAAGAGCATTGGAAACCATTACTCCCACTTTCACAACAAGGAAAATAAAAGCAAAGCAAAATAAAAATCGATTATCTTTAGATCCATCAGATAAAGTTGCAGGGCAAACTGCTGTCCTAAAACCTGTTTAGTCAGACAGACAGATACAGAAATTAATAGGTTATTCACAGCAGCAGCCCAGGAGCAGAAGCCCACAGCTGGAACCAGTATCGGTAAGAGCACTTGAAAATGTAATGTATTAATTGCAAAAGGCTCAGTGTAACCTACCTTGACAGTTAAAAGCTCTGAAGGGGCAAGAAGACACACCGTTGTGTGTTTTACTTCCAGAAACCTACCCAGTTCTCAGGGTAACTGTTGAAGAAAATATTTTCCTGTTTCTGGCTGGGGGAGGGAAAAGTAACCACTTGGAAGTAGTCTCAGAGCTCCCTGTTGTCCTTAACAAGGCTCATTTTTAGGTAAAACTGTATATCAAAGCGGATTGGGGGATTACCAAAGACTTACCTATCTGAGAGAAGGGATATTCCCAACTGTAGCCCCCTTTAACCGCTGATATTGGGGAAGAGGAATAGCCAACTAAAGATTACTACGAGACTAATACCTAATTACCAAAAGACCTAATACCTAGGTCTACAGTACACCTCCCCTTGTCACACAGTTTACGACCACATCGACAGGGTTCCTGTACAGTAACAGATTACAGCTAAAAGAACTGCAAGCCTCAATCCATTTAAGATATCTCTTGAAAAATCCAAACATAAGCAGGGAGACAAAACAAGATTACTAGAAAAAACTTTCGCCACTGACATGATAGCTACAGAAAGCAGTAAACGCAGTCTAATTTCTTGCCAAAACAACATAAAACGTCACACTAAAAACCTATCTACCTTAGTTCCTATTATGTAATAATTTTGTCTGGCTTTCTACCAAAAAATATGCTAAAGGTAACACACCAGCCCTGTCTGAAGAGAGGAAGCAAGCATCAGAAACAGGGTAAGACAAAGATTTTGAAGTTATCACAAAGGAAATTTAAAATAACTATGATAAATATTTTAAGTGCTATAATGAAAAAGGTAGACAACATGTACAAACATATGCATAGTATAAGCAGAGATGTGGAAACAAAGAAAAATCAAAAGGAAATGCTAAAAATAAAAAAAACCTAGTAACAAAAATGAAGGATCTCCTATATGGGCTTATCAGAGAGTGCACACAGCCAGTGAAAAAATCAATAAGCTTGAAGATAAACCATAGATTTGAAACTAAGATACAAGGAGAAAACTCTCAAAACTATAAAACAGGATTTTCAAAAACCATAAGATAATTATAAAATATGTAACATATGCATAATTGTAATAAAAGAAAGAGAAGAAAGATCAAAAGGAACAGAAGAATAATTTGAAGTAATAATGGCTGAGATTTTTAAAAATATTAAGGACAGACACTAAATTACAGATTATGGAAGCTCAGAGAACAGCAACCAAGATAAATACTAAAAAATCTACACCTAGATATATTATATTTAAAGTATACGAAACCAGAGACAAACATAAAATCTTTAAAAAAGCCTGAAACGAAGAACACTTTACCTCCAGAGAAACAATGAGAAGAATTACACTGCACTTCTCCAAAAACATTTTTAGCAAAAGTGTAGAGTGACATTTTAAATTGTTGAAAGAAAAACAAAATGAAACACCAGCTTATATTTCTTTATTCAGTAAAATTATTCTTCAAAATTGAAAAATAAATTAAAGACTTCCTTGACGAACAAAAATTGAATGAATTTGTCACCAGGACACCGGCCTTGAAAGAAAAGTTTAAATAACTTCTTCAGAAACATGGAGAATGAAATGAGTCAGAAACATAGACCTACATTTAAAAAAGAAAAAGTTAGATATAGATAAAAAAGTAAAAGTGAGTATATAGTCAAATTTGAAAACTCTAACACTGTAACGATAATGTGTAAATCACTTGTAAATTTAGAATAAAGTTTAAAAGACAACACTACTACAATAATAATACCTACAATAATTTTACAAGGGACACACGGTATAAAAAGATGTAACTGTGACATTAATTTAAAATGTGGTCAGGGGTTGTTGTAAAAATGTAGTGTATTTTATCCAAAAGACATGAATTTATGAGCTTAAAAATGTATGTCATAATTATGAGATATTTTGTAAGCCTCAGTAAGATACACAATAGAGAAAAAGTAAAGGATAAAAGTACATTACTAAAGAAAGTAATCTAATCACTAAGGCAAACAGCAAAAGGAAGAGAAGAACAAAGGGCTTATAAAACAACAGAAAACAATTTAAAAATAGCAGAAGTAAACAATAACTTTAAATCTAAATGACTTATATCCTTTAATCAAAAGGCATAGAGTGGCTGAATGGATAAAGAAACCAGACCCAACTACATACTTCTTGCAAGAGACTCACTTCACTTCTATGGATACATATAGAGTGAAAGTGAAAGAATAGAAAAAGATATGCCAGGTACCAAGGGAAACAAAAAATGAGCAGTACCTATATTAGAAAAAAAAAGACTTTAATTCAAAAACTATAAAATAGGACAAAGAAGGTCATTATATAATGATAAATCAATTAACCAGGAAGAAATGGTAAATATACGTGCATCCAATATTGAAACACTGAAATATGTAAAATACTAGTAGATTGGAAGGGAGACATAGACTATAATACGACAATATTAAGGGACTTCAATAACCCACTTTTAGCAATGAACAGAGTATTGAGACAGAAAATCAATATAAAAACATTGGATATAAACTACACTTGATACAAAATAGACCTAAAAGACATACAGGACATTCCATCCAACAGCAGCAGAATATACATTCTTCTCAAGCACAGAGAGAGCATTCTCCACAATAGATCATATATTAGTCCACAAAACAGGTCTTGACATATTTAAGAATATAGAAATCAAATCAAGTATCTTTTTGGACCATAATGGTATGAATCTAGAAATCAGTATCAGGAAGAATTTTGGAAAATCTAAAAATACATGTAAATTAAACATCATGCTTCTAAACAACCAACGGGGCAAAGAGGAAATTTAAAAATAAAATTTAAAAATATTATAATGTAATAAACATGAACATATACCAAAATTTTAAAAACACAACAAAAGCAGATCCAGAAATTTATAACAATATATGCCTATATAAATAAGGAATAAAAATTTCAAATAAACAAACTGTTATACCTCAAGGAATTAGAAAAAGAACAAACTAAGACCGAAGAAAATAAAAAGAATAAAACATTAAATATCAGATCAGAAATAAAACAGACACTAGAAAACAGTTTTAAAAAGGGAGTTGGTTTTCTGAAAAGATAAAATACACAAATTGTAGGTAGACTGAGAAAAAAAGAAAAAATTCAGGTAATTAAAATCAGAAAAAAAGAAGGTACATTACAATTGATACTACAGAAATACAAAGGGTCATGAAACTAGGATGAATAATTAAACCCCAACAAAATGCATAACCTTGAAGAAATGGATAAATTTCTAAATATATACAACCTTCTAAGACTGAATTATGAAGAAATAGGAAACCTGAACAGACCATTAACAACTAAGGAAATTGAATCAGTAATAAAAAGTCTGCTGTCAAAAAAATGCCCGGGACCTAATGGCTTCACTGCTGATTTCTACCAAACATTTAAGAATTAATACCAATCATTATCACCGCATTCAAATATATAAAGAAGTAGGGATGCTTCCATCTCGTTTTACCAGGCCAGTTTTACCTAGATACTAAAGATAAACAAGGGCACTACCAGAACAGAATTTTCCTGATGAAAACCCATGCAGAAATCTTCAAAACAACACTAGCTAATTAAAATGAATCAGAAGGAACATTCACCATGATAAAGTGAGATTTGTTCCAGGGATACAAAAATGTTTCAACACACTCAAATATATAAATGTGACAGACAACATTAACAGCATTAAGAACAAAAACTATATAAGCATGTCAATATTTGCAGAAAAGGCATTTGACAAAATTCAACATTCTTTTATAATAAAAACTTTCAATAATTTATGTATAAAGGAAGTTATATCAACACAATAAAGGCCATATGTGACAAAAATCACAACTAACATTATAGTAAATAGTGAAAAGTCAAAACCTTTTTCTGTATGTTTAGGAACAAGACAAAGTGCTGACTCTTACCACTTCTGTTTAACATTCTACTAAAAGTTTTTGCCAGAATAATTTAGCAAGAGAAAGAAAAAAAAAGATATCCAAATTTAAAAGGAGAAAGTTAAAATGTCCTTGTTTGGAGACAGTATGATCTTAGGTACAGAAGGCCCTAAAGATTCCTGCAAAACTACTATAACTAATAAACTAATTCAGTAAAGTATCAGGATACAAAATAAACAATTAAAAATTATTAGTGTTTCCACATGCTAACACTGAACTATGTCAAAAAGAAATAAATAAAAAAAATTCTATTTACAATAACTACAAAAATTACATAGGAAAATATTTAACCAATGAGACAAAATTTCTGTACCCTGAAAACTTTAAAAGATTGGTGAAAAAAATTGGAGAAGACACAAACAATGTGAAAGCACATGTTCATGGATTGGAGGAATTACCTACATTATTGTTATAATGTCCGTACTATCCAAAATGATTCAGATATTCAATACAATCCTTACTAAAATTCCAATGAAATTTTTCACAGAAATAAGAACAATCCTAAAATTTGTATGGATCCATAAAAGACCCCCAAATCCAAAGCATTCTTAAGCAAAAAGAAAAAGGATGGAGACATCAGACTACCTGATTTTGAAACATAACACAAAGTTTTAGTAATTAAAAAAGTATAGTACTGGCATACAGACACATAGACCAATGGAACAAAATAGACAGCCCACAAGAAAGTCTGTGCATTTGTGGTCAATTAATTTTTTACATAAATCAAGAATACACAATGAGGAAATTACAGTCTCTTTAATAAATAGTATTGGGAAACTCAATATTGACATACAGAAGAATAAAATTAGACCTTTGACTCACACCACATACAAAAATCAACTCAAAATGAATTAAAGACTTACATGTAAGTTCCAAAACTTTAAAACTACTAAGAGCAAAAATAGGAGAAGAGCCCCATGTCGTTTTTCTGGACAATAATTTTTTGGATATGACCCTAAAAGTCTAGGCAACAAAGGCAAAAAGCAGACAAATAGGAATACATCAAGTGAAAAAGCTTTTGTACAGCTGATAGTTACAGGAGGTAGCCAAATGCCTGGGCAGATAGGGATGGATCCCTGATGAAACCTCACCTCTGAGCGAAAGACAGCTTAAAACCTTAAAGCCAAGCTAAAAGTTAAATCCTCGGACCAGAGTGAGAACTTGTCTTCCTGTTTGGCATGCTTCCCTTGATTGATCCCCACACTTCACCTAGTTTAAATATACCTACGCTTTCCTAATTGGTTTTCTACACTGTTGTGGCCACCTTTGAGTGGTGTCTTCCCTTTAACTTTTTTGCATACTCACAAACCAATCAGCACACACTCCCCATTCTGAGTCCATAAAAGGCCTCAGACTCAGCCACATGCTGGGAATTTCCCACCTTTGAGTACAGGGACCATCCCCGTGTTCTCTCTTCACTGAAAGCTTGTTCATTACTCAATATAATTCTTCTCTGCACTCCTCACCACTCAGTGTCCAGCATATCCTCATTCTTTTTGGGCATGGTATAAGAGCTCAGAAACCACCAAACCTGGATACAAGCTATAATACAGGTGAGCTTGGGCACACCAATGTGGCTGAGCGGGGCCTGAGCAAGGGGTTGCTGGCCAGAAGTCCCCAGCTTGCAAACTGACTGAGAAGAAAAATCCTACATCACAGCCAAAGAAAAAAAAAAAAAACAACAGAGTGAAGAGACAGCTATGAAATGGGATAATATATTTGCAAACCATGCATATAAGTGTCTAATAACCAAACCATATAAAAAATTAAACAACTCAGTAGTATGAAAACAACCTAATTTAAAAGTGAGCAAAGTACCTAATTAAACATTTCTAAAAATGAGAATCACAAATAGCCAACAGGTATATGAGAAAAAATACTCAACATCACTAATCCTCAGGGAAATATAAAACCAGAATGAGATACCACCTCAAACCTGTTAGAAAGGGTTATTATCAAAATGATAAAAGATAAGTGTTGGTGAGCACATAAAGAAAAGGGAAGCCTTGTATACATTGTTGGCGGGAATATGAATTAATACTGCCATTATGGAAAACGCAAAAATGTTTCTCAAAAAAATAAAAATAGTGTCACCCTATGATCCAGTAATCTCACCCCTGGATATATATCCAAAGGAAATGAAATCAGCATGTCAGAGAATGAACTGCACACCAATGTTCATTGAAGTATTATTCACAATAGTTAAGCTATAGAATCAAACTGTGTTCATCAATGGATAAAAGAATAAAGAAAATGAACTTGGGATTTATATTCTCTGCCCTTCTCACCACTTAATGTCCAGTGTATCCTCATTCTTCTTGGGCATGGTATAAGACCTCAGAAACCGTCGAACATGGGTACAAGCTATAACACAGTTGAGTTTGGGCATGCCGCTGTAGCTGAGCAGGGCCTGGGCAGGGAGTTGCTGGCCAGAAGTCCCAGCTTGCAAAGTGGCTGAGAAGAAAAATCCTACATCACACTGGATTTATATGTATCACTCACACACACACACACACACACACACACATAATGAAATACTATTCAACTTCTAAAAAGAAAAAAATCCTGTCATTTATGACAACATAGATGAATCCGTAGGACATTACGGACATAATGTTAAGTGAAATAAGCCAGACACAGAAAGACAAATACTGCATGACCTCACTTTTATGTGGAACCTAAAAATATTAACTCACAGTGCCACAGAATTGAATGGTGGCCACCAGAGGCTGCGGTTGTGGGAGGGAGTATGGTTGAGGAGATGTTGGCCAAAGGATACAAAATTTCATTCGCATTAGAGAAATAAGTTCAAGAGGTCTATTGTGCAATGTGATGACTGTAATTAAAAACAATGTGTTGTATTCTTAAAAATCACTGAGAGTAGATTTTAAGTGTTCTCACCACAAAAAATGAAAGAATGTGAGGTAATTCATATGTTAATAAATTCTATTTAGCCATTCCACAGTGTACATATATTTCAAAACATAATGTTTTATATGATAAATATATTCCACCTTATTTATCAATTAAAATAAATTAATTAATTAAAAGTAAGCAACTGTAGCAAGATTGCAGATACAAGTTTAATATAGATAAGTCAAGTGATTTCTTCTATACCAGCAAGGAGCAACTTAAATTTGAAATTAAAAATAAGCACTATTTACATTAGCATCACCTTCCCCACTCCTTCCCCATAAAAATAAAAAGAAGAAACAAGAGGGTGATTTGGGTATAAATCTAACAAAAATATGGGCAATATCTAAATGATAAAAACTACAAAACTCTCAGGAAAGAAATCAAATTTGTTTTAAATCATTGGAGAGATTTTTCGAACTCATGCATAGAAAGATTTAAGGCTGTTCATTTTCTTCAATTGACAAATAGATTCAAAACAATTCCAATCAAAATCCCAAGTACTTACATTGTGGATATAAAAAATTAAACACAGACAAACAGAAAAGATTCTAAAATGTATATGAAAAGCCAAATGACCCAAAATAACTAACACACTATTTAAGAAATCCAAATTGGAGTGCTGACAGTACCTGATATCCAGACTTACTGTATAGCTACAGTAATCTATAAAATGTGATATGGGCAGAAATAGTAAACAATCAGAACAATGAAAACAGAAAACAGAGCCCAGAAATAGAATAAACTGATATTTGACAAAAAAAGAGCAATCCAATGGAGAAAAATATAATCTTTTCATAAAAAACTGCTTTAATAATTGGGCACATTTTTAAAAAGAATCTAGGCACAGATTTTGTACCTTTTTTTTTTTTTTTTTAATTTGGGGCAAGTCTTGCTCTGTTGCCCAGGCTGGAGTGCAGTGGTGCGATCTTGGCTCACTGCAACCTCCACCTCCTGGGTTCACACCATTCTCCTGCCTCAGCCTCCCCAGTAGCTGGGACTACAGGCACATGCCACCACTCCCAGCTAATTTTTTTTTTTTTGTATTTTTAGTAGAGACAGGGTTTCACCATATTGGCCAGGCTGGTCTCAAACTCCTGACCTCATGATCCACCCACCTAGGTCTCCCAAAGTGCTGGGATTACAGGCATGAGCCATCATGCCCGGCAAGATTTTATATGTTTAAGTAATTTACCACAGAGTTTGTAAACCATAATACTATAGAATGTCTTAGAAGATTGCATAAGACAAAATATAGATTATCTTGGATATGATGATGACTTTTTAGATAAAACAAAAACACCAAAAGCATAACTCATGAAAGAACAAAAACTTCAGTTAGATTTCATTAAAATTTTAAAATTCTGTTTTGCAAAATACATTTTTTATAGAAGAAAACAAGAAGCCACTGACTTGGAGAAAATATTTGCAAGACACATATCTGATAAAGAAAGTGTGCTCAAAATAAGCAAAGAGCCTTTTAAATTCAATAACAATGAGAAAACAAAACACCTAATTTTAAAAGGGGCACAACAATTCTGAATTTTCATTTCACCAAAGATATACAAATAGACATAAGTGTATGAAAAGATGCTCAACATCACATCATTCTGAAGTTAAGTTAAAAAAAATAAAACAAATTTTACTCTATCTACATTTAAACCCCAAAACACTAGCAATTTCAAATGCTTATGAAGACATTGATCAACAGGAACTCTTTAATTACTGGTAGGAATGCAAAATGGAACAACCACTTTGGAAGACATTTTGAAAGTTTCTTACAAAGCTTAACATAGTCATATCATATGATCAAGGAATTGTGCTCCTCATATTTACCTAAATGAGTTGAAAATTTATAGCCATACAAAAAGCTCCACACAAATGTTTATTGATGCTTGATTGATAATTACCAAGTCAAAATTAATGACAGACCAAACAATCCACACTTCTTAATAAACTGTTGGTCCAAGAGGAAGTTTTGAATATATTTAAAAAGAACAGTGAATGAAAATAAATATTGAAGTTGCCAGATTTGTGGTTTATAACTACGGTATTGCTGAGAAAAATATTTACTCCATTATGTTTATATTAGAAAAATCTACAGTAAATAATTAAGTTTCCAACTTAAGAAACTAGAAAAAAGGGCAAACTAAACCCAGATCAAGTAAAATGAAGAAAATCATAAAAATGAAAATAGAAAAAAATCAGAAAATAAAAATTAAACAGAAAGCCAGTTCTTTGAAAAACTCAGTAAAACTAACAAGCCTTTAAGAAGACTAACAAAGGTAAAAGAGACAAGACACAAATTACTAATACTAAGAATAAAATAGAGAATTATGAATTGTAAATATTTAAAAAGGAATACTACAAAAAAACTTTACACATATAAATAAGACAACTTAGTAAAAAGGCATTATTTCCTAGAGAAGTATATTCTATATTAACTTATTCAGTATGAAACATAAAACTGTAAAGCACTCTTACTAAGGAAATTGAATCTGTAACTAAAATTCTCTCCAAAAATGTTATCTCCAGGACCAGACAATCGTACCAAATATTTTAAAAGATAGTAACGCCGATTGCAAGAGGTGCAAGATAAGTAAATTTGTAAAATAAAGTTTGATAGTATAAACCTGGGCATATATCTTAGAATAGAAAAATAGATGCTTTAAAAAATAAAAGCCCTACAAAAATATTCCTGAATGTGCATTTACAATCTTAGGGGAGTTTAGTATATTCTGAACTAAAAAAAACCCTGTAATTTAAAAGGCAGACTGTATTTATTTAGAAAAAGTAATACTGAGAAGATTAACAGAAAAGCAATTGAATTTAAATTAAAAATACTTGTAATATAAACACAACGTGTGTTACATACAAAGGACTAACCCCCCAAAATAATAGAAAAAAAGGCAGGAATATGAAAATGCAAGTCATATAACAGCAAATTCAAATGACCAGCATACATATGAAAATATGCTGAAATGTACTGCTAGTCAGGGAAATGCAAGTTGAAGTAAGAATGAGATATCACATTACACATATCAGTCTGACAAAACTGAAATGAGTAATAACATCTATTGTCAACAGGAATGCAGGCTTAAAGTACTCTCCTACAATGCTAGAAGAGATGTGAATTGTTTAAAAAAAACCTTACAAAGCCATCTGGCAACATCTACAAAAATTAAAATTGCGTGTACACTTTGTTCCAACAATTCCATTTCTGGGAACCCATCCCTAAGAGTAAAAAACACACTTGTTTATGAGAAGAGAAGTTCAAAGATGTTTATTTTCACATACTTTGCGATCACAAAAAGAGGACTACAAATAATAAAATATCAATTGGTCAATGCTTTTCTAAAACAATTTCAAAGCATATATTGGACCATTACCAATGTATTAAAGCAATGACACCTAGCATTGAGTGATAAATTCAGAAATGTGTGCATAATAACTGTCACATTTTTGATGAGATGAGTAATGACACACATTTCCATATATATAATCAGATGACCACAAGCCAAAGTGTGAAAGAATAAAAAACCAAAAATCTACCTGGGGGCATACAGTATTTTATTCTGCTTCATGTTGTTGCATTTCACAGATAATGTATTTTTTTCAAATTGAAGTTTTGAGGAAACCCTCCACCCAGCAAATCTATCAGCACCGTTTTTCTAACAGCGAGTGCACAATTTATTTCTCTGTGTCACATTTTGGTCATGCTCACAATATTTCAAAGTTTTTCATTATTATTCTAACTTTTACAGTGACCTGTGATCAGTGATTTTTGATGTTCCTATTGTAATTATTTTAGGTCAGCACAAACTGCATTCATACAAGATGGCAAATTTAATAGATAAATATTGCGTGTTCTGATGGCTCCACCAACCAATCATTCCTACATTGATCTTCTTCTTCTCAGGTCTTCGTATTCCCTGAGACACAAATATTAAAATTAGGCCAATTAATAACCCTACAATGGCATCTAAGTGTTCAAATGAAAAGAAGATTCATATGTCTCTCGCTTCCTATCAAGAGCTAGAAATGATTAAGCTTAGTGAAGGCACATTGACAGCCAAGACAAGTTGGAAGCTAGGTCTCTTGCACCAGTTAGCCAAGTTGTGATTGTGAAAGAAAAGTTTTTCTAGAAAATTAGAAAAGTTTCTCTAGAAAAGTAAGAAAGCAAAACAGCTTTATTGCTGATATAGAGAAAGTTTTAGTAGTCTGGATAGAAGATCAAAACAGCTGCAACATTCCTTTAAGTCAAAACCTAATGGAGAGCAAAGCCCTAATTCTCTCTAATTCTGGAAGCCTGAAAGAGATGAGGAACCTACAGAAGAAAAGTTCAAAGCTAGCCGACTTGGCTCATCAGTTTTATGGAAAGAGGCCATCTTCATAACATAAACATGAAAGGCGAAGTAGCAAGTGTTGATGTGGAAGATGCAGCAAGTTATCCAGAGGATCTAGCTAATTGATGAAGGTGGCTACACTATACAATAGATTTCAATGTAGAGAAAACAGCCTTCTATTGGAAGAAGATGTCATTTAGGGCTTTCATAGCTATAAAGGAGAAATCAATGTCTGGCTTCTATTCTTTAAATGACTGGATGACTCCCTTGTTAAGGGCTAATGTAGCTGGTGACTTAATTATTTAATTTTTTTGTACAAATGTATGGGATACTTGAAAAATTCTGTCACATGTATATAATGTGTAGTTATCAAGTCAGAGTATTTAGGATGTCTGTCACTAGAGTACATTGCATTTTTGTTACATATAGTCACCCTACTCTGCTATCAAACATTGAATATATTCATTTTATCTTACTGTATGTTTGTACTGTTTAACCCAGTTCTGTTCATTCTCTCCCCTCCCACTCACTCATTCTTCTCAGTCTTTGTTGTCTATGTTTCCCCTCTCTACCTTCATGTGATTCCATTCTTGAGCTCCCATGTAAAAGAGAGAACATGAGATAGTTGCCTTCTTGTGGCTGGCTTAGGTCACTTAAGATAATAACCTCCAATTCCTTCCATGTTGCTGCAAATGACATGATTTTATTCTTTTTTGTGACTAGATATTATTCCATTGACTATATCTTCCATATATTCTTTATCCATTAATCTCTTGATGAACGCTTAAGTTGATTCCATATCTTTGCTGTTGTGAATAGTGCTAAAGTAAACTTGTGAGTGTTAGTATCCCTTTGATATAGTGTTATTGTTTTTTTTTCCTGTGGGTAAATAACCAGTTGGTAAGTTTAAGTTAAAGCCAATACTCATTTACCATTCTGAAAATTCTAGAGCCCTAAAGAATTATGCTAAATCTACTTGGCGTATGTTCTATAAATGGAACAATACAGCCTGGATGACAGCATATCTGTTTATAGCATGGTTCACTGAATATTTTAAGCCTGCTATTGAGACCTACTGCTCAGAAAGAAGTATTCTCAAAATATACTGATCATTGACAATGCACATGGCCACTCAAGAGCTCTAATAATAGATATACAAGAAGCTTCTTTTCATATCTGCTACCATAATATCCATTCTACAGCCCATGAAATGAGAAGTAATTTCAACTTTCAAGTCTCATTTTTTAAGAAATATATTTTTAAGCCTATAGCTACCAGAAATACTTCTTCCTCTGATGGATCTGGCCAAAGTAAATTGAAAGTTTTCTGGAAAGTATTCACCATTCTAGATGCCATTAAGAACAGTTGTTATTCAAAGAAGATGGTCAAAATATCAACATGAACAGGAGCTTGAATGAAGTTAATTTCAACCCTTAAGGATGAATTTGAATGGTTCAGAACTTCAGTGGAGGAAGTAACTGCAGATGTAATGAAAATAAACAGAGAAGTGGAATTAAAAATGGATCCTGAAGTTGTGACTGCCTTGCTCCAGTCTCTTGATAATATTTGAAGAATCAATGAATATTTGCTTCTTATGGATGATAAAGTGATTCTTGAAATTTACTCCTTATGAAGATGCAGTTAACATTGTGATAATGACAATCAAGTATTGAGAATGATATATAAACTTACTTGAAAAAGCAGCAACAGGGATTGAGGGGACTGACTATAATTTTAAAAGTTCTGTGGAGAAAGTGGCATCAAAGAGCATTACATGCTAAGAGAAATCTTTTATGAAATGAGAGTCAATTGATATAGCACACTTCACTTTTGTCTTCAAGAAACTGCCACAGACATGCCAGCCCTCAGAAACCACTACCCTCATCAGTCAGCAGTCATCGACATCAAGGCAAGACCCTCCACCAGCAAAAAGATTCTGACTTGCTAAAGACTCTGATAATTGTTAGCATTCTTTTAGTAATAAAGTATTTTAAAAATTAAGATATATACCTTGTTCATTTTAGATATAATATTGTGGCACACTTAATAGACACAGTATAGTGTAAACAACTTTTATATGTACTGGGAAACCAAAAAAAAATGTATGTGACTCACTTTTTTGAGGTGGTTTAAAACTGAGCCACAGTATTTTTGAGGCAGGCTTGTAGTTTATGTGTTAATAGGGGCTTGGGTGATTGATGCCGGTGGAGTACTGAAGGAAAGAAGGGGACCCAAGTAATAAATAAAGAGAAAACAGTGAACCAAGTGGTATGCTTCTTTAAAATATTGAAAACAATATAGCTAATGCTTATGGAAAGAGCTACATTAGAATTGATGTGGTTTATTGAAAGGAAGTTACTCATTTTGGTAGACAAAATGTTTCCGAACAACAGTCTGGCAGTAAACACAACATGGAACAGCTTTCTTTTAATACCAGGTTTTGGTTTCCCTTGGTGACTATAGTCTTTAAATAGAAAATAATTCTTGAACAGAAGCTTAAGTCTTTGAAAAAAGATATAGTGGGTTTTCCCACGCTTCTATAGGTAAATCTCTAAGGTATACCTGCATCATTTTCTCAAGGTTTCTACGGTCTCCTTTGTAATTACTATATTCTAAGAAATATCCAGTGGAATTTTACTTTAAGTGGAATTATATAATTTATTATAAATAAATAAATAAATATACAGATAGATTTAGCAGACCATGAGATTTCTTATTTGTGTATTTAAATATTATTTTATTCAATACTATTTTAGTGCTTATTTGTAATAATGTAAGACATAATGCTTATTTTTTTAATGTCTTAATTTTGTTCAGCTAGGTAGTTTTAATTTTCAGGTCTAAGAACTAAAAGTCATTGCAATTGTAAAAACAATTCTTCAGAGGAAATAATCTATCTTCAGTGGGCACATTAAAAGCTTTTTGTGTGTTTAGAAGACTCAAGTGACCAAAGTAATAATCTTTTCAGGAATTCTTAGCTGTACTTGACAGGAGCACATTTAATGTAATTTGCAAATATATCAAAATCTCATTTTCTAAAGCACACTTTTGCAGCTCCCATCGTAAAACCTAGAAACAGAATAAGCAATATGAGTCTTAAGAAAGGAAGCATGTTATAAATGATATTTCTACTAAAAGTCAATAACAAAAGTATGACAAAATTATATCTGTTAGAATAAGAAGACATATATAATCAAATTATAATAAAAAACTCATATGAGTATTGAGTTCACATTTTTAGGCAAACCAAATCACAATTCACCATCTGCCAACATCTAAATATTTAGGAGTTACAGACAATGGCAATCTATTCAAAACTTTTGAAATAAGTGATTTTACTTGGTAATCTGTTTGTCAAAAGGACTTATTGATAATAATAAATACATATTCAAGTGAAAAAATCTTGTTACAGAAGATTAGTTGTAATACAAGAAAATACAATGTTTGTGTTCTCCCTCCACTATGAATAGCCAACTAAAGCTGTATTGAGGTTTTACCTTTAAAGGGAGGTTTTGATTACTTTAAAAATTCAGAATTGTCTCAATCCCTTTTACCACTCTGATCCACTACTCTCATTTACATCCTTCTATGCATTCATTCTGGAATTATATTTTCAATAAGTATAATTTTGATATTTGGTAATAGATGATGTAGAATGTTATATTTTGAATGTGAAATCACCAAGCAGGAAAGTTTCCCATCTTCCAACATTGTGTAAATCATATAGTCTGAAGTTTGGAATATTTCATGCACCATTACAATAAAAACATATCAGATAAGTCTGTAAACACTGATGAGCCCCTTACATCAAGATCTGAGAGCAGTAATATATAAAGATAAGTTATATGCTAAAAGATGTTATCGGGTACGAAGCAGATCTGGGAATATCTATTTTGTACAAAAGGGGTGAGTGGTCTTAGTAAAAAGGAAAGAAAGCAGTATTTTTGGTGTAGTTGAAAAATACTACAAAAGAGTATTACAAAAGAAGTGTTTACACTTAAAAGTAAACACAACACTTTTGTGAAGTGTTTACACTTAACAAAAGTAAACACAACACTTTTGTGAAGTGTTTACACTTAACAAAAGTAAACACAACACTTTTGTGAAGTGTTTACACTTAACAAAAGTAAATACAATCTCATGATACATCTGCTTTTTTTGTTTTCTCCTCCAATCTTTATTTTTGGTCCAGGGGGTTCCCATGCAGGTTTGTCACATGGGTAAATTGCATTTCACAGGGATTAGGTATATAGATATTTCATTACCCAGGTAATGGTCACAGTACCTGATAGGCAGTTTTTCAATCATCATGCTCCTCTCATCCTCCACCCTTAAGAAGTACCTGGTGTATATTGTTTCCTTCTCTGTGTCCATGAGTACTCAATGTTTAGCACCCACTTATAAATGAGAACACGTGGTATTTGGTTTTCTGTTCCTGCATTAATTCTCTAAGAATGATGTCCTCCAGCATCCATATTGCTGCAAAGGACATGATTTTGTTCTTCTTTATGCCTGCATAGTATTCCATGGTGTATATGTACCACATTTTCTTTATCCAGTCCACCATTGATGGACATCTAGGTTGATTCCACGTCTTTGCTATTGTGAATAGTGCTGCAGTGAACGTACCTACGCATATGTATGTCTTTATGGTAGAATAACTTAGATTTTTGGGATATATATGTGATAATAATAAGATTGCTATGTTGATAATAGTTCTGTTTTAAGTTCTTTGGTAAATCTCCAAGCTGCTTCCACATCAGCTTTTGTTTCTCAATAAAATTATTAAAAATATATAATTCATTATATAAAATCTATGATATAATGAGATAATGACAAAATACTTATAATTCAGGAAAAGGTCAAGAGTTCAGGAAAACTAAAGTAGAAAATTAAAACAGTATTCAAAGTAGTAAACAGCAAAAGTGGCCAAGTGAAGAAGTTTGAAAAAAAATAGAAATGTAAAATAAAGAGAATTATGCTGTTGAAATAAAAATATTTTATTTTATAAATATACACTTCAAACATTTCTGATTTCTAGCACCCAGCAAACACCAATGTTGCCATTGAAAGCAACCACTAAATTATCGTATTTACCAATTCTCGATATTTTATGTAAGTGGTATCATAAAATATCTCTTTCATTTCTCACTTTTTTAACTTAATGTCATTTGTTCAAGGTTCATATATACAAATATGATTAATGTTAACATTTCTGAATTTTCAGTGGTGAGTGATTTTCATCTTAAAATAATAAATTGGAAGAAGTAACTATGACTTTAAGAATCTCAAGTATAAAAATTAAACGCTGCATTGGGTAGATATTATTTGTAATATGTTACATATTTAATGTAAACAGAAATTCTGGTTTTAAATAGCAAATAACAAATGTAAAATTTATTAATAGCTGGTATGTAAAATCCCAGAGAATGATAATGATAAAATAGAGGAATAAATATGAATTTTAAGTATGCCTTTACCTTTCAAAGGGAAAGTTATTTGATACTGTCAGTGAAATAACCTATTATATTAACAATTTTGAAAATGATAAAAGTTGTTTTCTTTTCAGATGAAACATTAATCTATTTATATATAACAGCATTAATTATTGACATATATCTCTATAGAAAAAATAAATGGTAAAACAGAGAAAAGGAATAATTTTTTTTAAAAAAATAGAATACCAGGAAACATTAAACATTTAATTGGACCATCCTGGCTAACACTCTGAAAGCCTGTCTCTACTAAAAATACAAAAAGTTAGCCAGGCATGGAGGCAAGCACCTTTAGTCCCAGCTACCCAGGAGGCTGAGTCAGGAGAATCACCTGAACTTGGGAGGTGGAGGTTGCAGTGAGCTGAGATTGTGCCACTGCACTACAGCCTGGGCAACAGAGCCAGACTCCATCTCAAAAATAGTAATAATAATAATTGGAAAATATAAAATATTTCAACAATATCAATAAACTGTTTCCATTTTTAAAAAGTGGGTGAAAACAAAGCAAACAAAAGCAAAAACACATCACAATGAAATAAAAGTTTCAACCAAAAATTATTTACCATAATTTTTTGGATGTTCAAATGGAATATCAATCTCAGTGGATCAAAAACTTAACTCATAATTGCCTTCCAAAATATGCTCTTGTTTCTCTGAGTTAGAATGGCAACAGCTTTTGACTAGTAACTAACAATTTGTTAGACTCATCCTTGATGCTATCTTACTGTATACTCCCAAGTCAATAAATCACAAAGTTTTCTTGAAGATATCTCAAAAATGTTAAGATCTCTTTTCTTCTATAACCACATTTCTAAAATTTAGGCTATCATCATCACTCACCTTGAATACCATAGAATGCCACGATCAGTCTCTTCACTTTTTGGCTTGTTCCATTTTAATCATTTTACCAAAGCAATTCTGGTGGCATTTAATCAAGTCCAATAATTTCACTTATTATGGTAAACCATAATACTAGTTTCTAACTGATTTTATATTGATCCATACAGTTAACCATAAGTTGAAACAATTTGTAAAAACTTGTATTTTCTTGCATGTTCTGCCATGCATCACAACAGTGTCCCAAAATACTTTTGTTTCCTCCCTCCCTTTCTCTTTATTCTTATATCATGCTGAACTTCTGGGCCATCACATATGCCAGTCACCTCTGGGTTGTCATATATGATGTTCCTTCTTTTTTATTTTTGTATTTTTATTAATAACTATTATGGGTATATATAATAGTTGTACATATGTATGGCACACGTGATGTTTTGATATAGGCATAGAAGGTGTAATGACAAAATCAGAGTAATTGGGTTATCCATCACCTTAAGCATTTATCATTTTTTTGTGCTCAGAACATTCTAATTTCACTCTTCTAGTTATTTTAAAAACATACAGTAAATCATTACAATCACACCATCGTGCTACCAAATATGAGACCTTATTTATTCTATCTAACTGTATTTTTGTACTTATTAACCATCCCCTTTTTACTCTCCTACTATCTTTTTCTAATATTCTAGATTCACCTAGTTAAATTCTCCTTATCTTCTACCACTAAAGCAGACTTTCGGATGCAAACACAAAGCCACTTTCTTTTCTACCAAATGTCATTTAAATCCCTAGATCACAGCATATATATTTCTTTATGTGTATTCTTGGACACGAGTTATGTAGTTATGAAGTTCAGAGACACTTCTCTCTATGCTATGTATCATTGTATCAGGTCAGGAGTTTGAGCAATGTTTGGCATACTGGTCGTACAGTAAATATTAATCAAAATTATACCTCAACTTCCATAATTCTTACAGTCAATTTTCTCTATTTATAAATAATTAGCACTTCAAATCCTTTCCATTATCTTCAAAACCAAGATTTCTCTTATCACCCCAAAAACTCTTAATAATTAGCATTACATCTTACTTCATGTGAAATTAAAAATATATCTCAACTTCTAACATACTGATTCTTCTCTTTCTCGATCCTGTAACAACACAAGTGTTACTCCTTAATCTTTTCTCCTGCACTTGGCATTACTTGTCATTCCAGCTTGTTAGACCTGACCTTAATTTATTTTAATTTTTCTCACTAATATCCTTCACAACCATAATTTCAATGAGATAGCATATTTCTTTCTGCCAATTATACATCTTATTTTGATATTAGTCTCCCTCTAGCGCCTGTTATCTTTCCTTTTCCTCAAAAATTTTCAGAAATCACTTCTTGCACACATGCTCTCTAATTCTATGGGTTTATTTTTTATTCAACCTTCCACACGTAGTTGCTAAATTTGCAATTAGCGTCTGGAAATACAATCTAGTGGATAATTTTTTTAGTCTCTGCATCTAATTTGTAGGTACTTGTTATATTGATCATTGATCTTTCTTCACTGAAATACTTTCTACCAAATTTCTATGTAAATACATTTATTCTTTTCCTCTGAAAGTTTGAATTATCCTTACTATGTACTTAATTTCTCTTCTCCGCATCTTAAAAAGTCTTAATGTACTTTCCTTGTTTATCTTTTCTTCTCATTCTAAACACTCCCCTTGGTGAATATGCCTAAAACCCACGACTTTCATTTTACTGTCTTTATGCTGCCAAGATGCCAAGTTGATATCTCTACAACAGATTCCAAAGGAGGCTCGATTTTTTTCTTATTTTTTAATCATTTTGGGATACTCTACTTTTAAATATCTCTTTATCTAATCATTTCTCTCATCTCCATGATTCATACTGGATTAGGAGCCACTAACTTTCAACTGCATTACTGAGTCATACTAATTCCCGTAACAGTGTGCTACCTCAATATTCTTCCAAATTGGTTTTAATTGCATAGGTTAAATTAATTCATTTTGCTTACTACTTTAGAACTGTGAAGGGACACGATATCTATTAATGTTATATTGAAATATACAAACGTATATTAAGCAAAATGAAAACATAAGTATCAGGGTGACCTATTTTTCCTATTTCTACTTCTCTCATATTAGGAATTTGACCATCGTGAAATTGCTGCTTGCTAAGCATTTTTTAAAAGATTAAATGGGACCATGTATTTAATGTATTTTTGAAAAGTGTAAAATCTTTCACAGGATATAGTCTGTTTTAACTTAAAGCAAGAAAAAATATAAAAGTTTTATGCTAGTTATAATCTTCCAAACATGAACTTTGTGTTCTATTTTCCTAGCAATCTAATCTGCATCAACCATTTGTTTCTAATGACATGCAATCTATTCGTTTGTAAGCAGGACTCCTGAGCATTATTAAGGATTTTCATCATTTTGGTAAGTATCTCATTTCTGCTTATGGTCAGAGCAATTTCAATTAGGGTGTTCTAGATGTGTAACAGGGCAAGTCCTCATGGGCACCCATTCTAACAAACATCCCTCCATTTAATAGTAGGAAAATATCACTGTAAACACTGTAGTCAGTTGTTGTATTACTATGATAGCTATTACTGTGATAGTTCCAAAATGTGTGTCTTCCCTGTGGCATCCTGATAATAAAAGACCTTTAAATTTTAGGCATTATGAATTTAAAAACACTCATCAAATTTCAAATATAAAATTAAATATTATCATGTTAAACATGGATAAAATGATATTAAAAAGGATAAAAAAGCATAGTGTCAAAAATCATGATAAAAACGTGATGTTTGAACATTTGAATAAGGAAGCAGAGGATCACAGGAATGGTAAAGAAGGGGTAAGTCATTAGTATTAAAACTAAGTTTACAAACATGAAACAATATGGAGGTAACCTGTAACGTAAGGTATATTTTCATTTTCAAGTTGTAAAATTTAGGAAATTACATCTGTCATGAAATATATTTGCATAAATTGATAAAGGAAATGCGCAAATACGAGCACATCTATTTTTGTAGGAATGTCCATTATTGTAAAAATCACTATAGACATTAGCCTTGCTTTGACAAAGTTAAAAATATCCATATGCTGAGAGCTGTTCCAGCAATGCAGAAGCCTTTCAGCATAGAGTGGTTATCTCAGCTCACACGGCTGATAGCTCTGCTAGTGTTGAAAAGCTAGTGCTGGGAAGAAAAAAAAAATGTAGGGTCTTGAAGCTTCAACCCCACTGGCAAATAGAAGCCAATTTTGTGAAAATGCACTAGGAGAAAAGATTCCAGGTAGTGAGTAGGGAATGTCTTACCTTCACACAAGTACATTTTATAGAGACAACCTAGAAAGCTATAGTACATTGTCCTTCCTTTGTTCCATCTCTGGATCCTAGACATCTACACTGAGTTATACCTTTAATAAATTGACAATATTACCATTTGATTATTCTGACAATAAATATTGTTTTGCTACTTCTTTTGTGATCCACCCACAAACTATGCAGGATTCCTTATTGCTGACTAATGGCACGCATTCTTATTAAGAGTTCTGAAGGAAGAAATATAAAAGAATGTCAAATGATTCATCATCACATTATCAGCCAGCTGTCTGTCACTTATGTCCAGGGACACTATTTTTATCTCCTAACATTTGAAACTTTTAAAAGACAGCTGAAATTTTGTTCCCAAGTGTGTAAAAACATCTTAAAAAATGAGTTGTCATGTATTATTATCTGTTCCTTCTCCATGGCCATTTTAATAAACCCATCAATATTTATTGAGCACACATTATCAGCCTAGTTCTAACCTAGAAATCTTTAGAGATTCATCAGAAACATAATACCATGTCCTTGATTTTCCAAACCTAACTTTCATCTCAAGGACAACATGGGTCACCAAGCAATAGAACATGAGTACTAAACATTAGAATGATTAAAATAAATATATCTAAGAACACAGCAGAGAAAAAGCAATAAAACCTGGAATAGTTAAGTTGAAAAGGTCAGTGATAGAAGGAAATGTGAGCATGAACTTGAAAAATGGTTATAATTTAAAAATGAATGTGTCCCATGGGTTGACATTTTAGGTTGGGGGAACATTAAAGGCAAGATGATTAGCATAAATTCAAATAATAATTAACTATTATTGCATAAATAGTACGTACAAGCTCCAAGACACAATACTAGGGAGAGGTACAGGTCCTGTGTACCGAGAACATACAGGAAAAATATTTTAGTGTGGTCATGAAAGCATTAAAGTTCAGGAAGTAAAATGGACTATAAAACACAACATACAGGAACTAACACAGAGTAAGGAAGAAAAGAAAATCTTCCAGTAATATAAAAAAAAATAGATGATTTACTGGATGACTATATGTTATCTCAAAATTATTGGTGTCAGTTTCATGCAGTAAACACAATTACAAAGGTAGAATGCTATGCCAGTGTGTGAGAGATGAAGGTCATCAGGAAGGCAAAATTGGATCTCAGAGCATTAAGGGTGTTGTGGGAATGGAATACGCAGTAAAGGGTAAGAGCTAATGAGCAGGTGATAAAATCATTTAATGTCATTGTAAAGTATTTCGATTTTATTTTTAATACACTTGAGAGTCCTTGAAGGATTTTTATGAGAGGAATGATATTTTCATTTTGAAGATGAATAATTCTTTTTTTTTTTGCTTCTGTATTCCAAATATTCTTTTCCTATACTCTTTTTATGCATTATCTCAAGGAATTATGGATATCGAATTAGCATTGTTAAATTATTCTTCCATTATGATTGTGGACACCGTCAGTGTACAAAATGAGTAGGAAAGAGGAATCTTAACGTCTTCTTTGGAAAGCTAACAACCAATTAGAGGATATACATGATATGCATACAGCACTGAAGAATGTTTAAGATAGGATAAAGAGACTTCTTTGTAGATTGTGAAATAAAAGTGTAAAGATGACATAAAAAGAAGGTGAAGACAAACACTTATAATAGCAATTTCTTCATGAATTTTGTAGAGCCTGCCCAACTCAGAAGTTCACACTTAAGTTCATTAGCAACTTTATTCATATAATTATTTTTTACTGTGAGTGAAAACTTTCTTACAAAAACAGCAAGCATATCTAAAATAATATTGTGTTTCCTTTAACAAAAACATTATTCTAGCAAATAATTTGCACTTAACGTGGTGCAGGTGCCAGAGTTTTTGTGCTGTTGACGATGATTCACAGAGCTTAAACACTGTTTATACAGTAAGTTTAGGTTTATTGTCAGTATAGTTTTGATATTTCCACAAAAATATTTTATATGTTTTTCAACAATTCTGACATTGATATTTCAGCCCATAATTTTTCTGAAGTTCTAAGCTAATTTTTTAGAAATGTAAAAAATATTTATTTATCATTGTCAAATGAGTAGAAAATAGTATTAATTAATAGATGTGTTTGTTTTTTATTTAGAATACTGCCGTTTACTTCTCTCAGCTCCCATATTTTCTTGCTAACCACTTTATTCTTTTCCTTAGCCTGAATTAAAGGTTTCCCTATGTTTGGATAGATAGTAATCTGGTAAACAGGCAGGCTAGCTACACTACACTTGGAAATATATTTTCATGTGAGCCATAGAAAATAAACCTTAGCTTTGAAAAATGGCCGGTGTGAATTTTTTTTTTTTATTATTATACTTTAAGTTTTAGGGGACATGTGCACAACGTGCAGGTTTGTTACATATGTATACATGTGCCATGTTGGGGTGCTGCACCCATTAACTCGTCATTTGGCATTAGGTATATCTCCTAATGCTATCCCTCCCCCCTCCCCCCATCACTGGCCATCAGAGAAATGCAAATCAAAACCACAATGAGATACCATCTCACACCAGTTAGAATGGCGATCATTAAAAAGTCAGGAAACAACAGGTGCTGGAGAGGATGTGGAGAAATAGGAACACTTTTACACTGTTGGTGGGACTGTAAACTAGTTCAACCCTTGTTTGTGGAACTAGTTTGTGGAAGTCGGTGTGGCAATTCCTCAGGGATCTAGAACTAGAAATATCATTTGACTCAGCCATCCCATTACTGGGTATACACCCAAAGGATTATAAATCATGCTGCTATAAAGACACATGCACACGTATGTTTATTGTGGCACTATTCACAGTAGCAAAGACTTGGGACCAAGCCAAATGTCCAACAATGATAGACTGGATTAAGAAAATGTGGCACATATACACCATGGAATACTATGCAGCCATAAAAAATGATGAGTTCATGTCCTTTGTAGGGACATGGATGAAGCTGGAAACCATTATTCTCAGCAAACTATCGCAAGGACAAAAAACCAAACACCGCATGTTCTCCCTCATAGGTGGGAATTGAACGATGAGAACACATGGACACAGGAAGGGGAACATCACACACCGGGGACAGTTCTAAGCTATTTAAATAAGAAGCTGAGGGAAAAGGTAATACAAACAATATAAAAATCTCTTCAACTAGGCACCCACTTACTACTCATAGTAATGTTGAGAATCTCAAATAGACCTGGTGAAAAACATAGGGTACATGTTCACATTGCTTCAGGAAAATACACAGATTTGGCAAAAGACTAATGCCAATGACATGGAAATTAACACTGGCTTTTCACATCTTTCTACTTAATATCAGAGACAAGAAATTAAATAGGAGGAGTGCAGAAGTAGACATTACTTATCAAGATAGCTTTAGAAGGAGAAGCCAAACATAGGGTTTTATGTATATTTGTCCTCCCTGCAAGATCTAGACTGCCAGCACTGAGCCTCATAGGCTAGTCAGCTGGGTAAATAAAAAATGTGCCATGCTGTGATATTATCTTCACAATTAAGAATACCACTACATTTCATTATATTTATTGTCATTCCTTCTTTCTCATAAAAAAAAAACAAAATATTTTGCCTTTACTTATTAAATAATTTTTTCTTTAAAATACAAAAGAGCTGATTGAACAGCTAGCTATCTCTATATCAGTACATAAATGCATATTTAGAAATAATACATGTTAATTTAAAAGTATTTCCAGATTATGATATATTGCCTCTATATTATTCTTAAAGAATTTTAACAAAACAGTTATTGACAATTGCTGAAAAACGTATCGTGATAAATATATTTTCTCAAATGTTAAATATTAATTTCTATTTAAAATGACTGTGAAAACAAAAATCTTTATATTTTTGAATAATTAAGAAATTTTCAGGAAACATTTTAATTAAGAAAATCAATTGACATAAAACATGCCTACAAATAGGAAAAGTACCTATAATACATCATAAAGATGAAATTTTAACCACAATATAGTGTTAGAATCTATGATTTCCATACATTTTAGGATGATATATAAATCTTATTCTTTGTTTTATAGAAACCAGTTTATTCACACTGAGCAACACATTTTTCATTTGAGAGTAAACATCTCCCTCTTCTGGAATTTGTTTTAAATTCAGGAATCAAAAGATTTTATTTAAAAAGCTTAACAATTTCAGTTCACCATGTAGATATATATTTGAAAGCTTATCAATAGGTTTTATATATAGTAATTGCTCATCAGAGCTTTCAAATTCTATGCAATATAGATTTTATTCATTTAATATTTTTTGCTCATTAATTATAATTTTACTCTTTATTGTAATCTTAAAAGTTTAAGTGAGCAATTAAAATAAGATTTACTAATAATTAGGAATATATACTAATAAATAGTACATATTTATTTTTATATCTAATTTCGTATGTGTGCACTTTGAATTTCGTTCACCTTCATGGTTTTCAGTGTGTTTTTTTGTTATGTTTATTCAGAAAAAGCTCACCCATGAAGTCACAATAAAAATAAATATAGAAGTAATTTTTAAAGTAAACTTAAATACAAAATAATCAAAATACTAAGAACTTTTTTTTCATTTCCCTACGCAAAATTTCAAGACCTCTCAAATATAGCATATATAAAAACATGGCTTTGAGATCTACCTTTTTCATGTTTTAAAATTTTTACTTCTTTAACCCAAAACTGCATGTATTAAAAATAATGAACAGAGCATTTAAAATAAAAATCTGCAAAATCATCCTCAGAAGCCTTAAGAAAACATATTTTTGATATATAATCATAGACTTTCCTAACAATTTTGAAAGATTTATGGGGTAATAAAATCCAAAATCTGTTAAAATATTTTAAAAATTCTTATCAGAAACAACTTTTGTTGCTCTCATAATTACCATGTGATGACCTGAATCAAAATCATATATCTTATAAAATTATACACATGTATTCTTATTCTATAAAAACATTGGCATATAAACCTGCAAATAAAGGTATCCAAAGTGATACAGTTGTTCTAATGTTAAAGAAACTTTAAAGTATATTTTCTATTGACCAAATAGAAGTGAAAGAAGACATGACTAATTATGTTGTTAGGAAATTTGTTTTGGAAACATGTTAACAAATTATTTATAATAATTCTTACTACCCCTTTTGCTGTCACCTGAAACAGCCAAACATGTTTTTTCAGCAAAAGGAAAATAACAAAACTAACAAACTACAGATTAGCCATCGCATACTACAATAAAGTGTAATTCCACAATCACAGGAGCAATAACACATAATAATAAGTCAGATTGGTTTGCTCTAAAGTTCTTACTCTGAAGCTATTAAGCTTACCCACCATTGGGACAATTTTATCAGTAGATATAGATATTGGGTGTCTTTTTATCCTGTTTTCTCAGTTTGTGTCACTAGTTTAGCAGATAGCAATGAGATAGCTCCAGCCATAGATGAAGCTAGAGGAAAACTCTTTCCTAGTACAAATGCTTATCTTTGTTGCAAGCTTCTCAATTAATTCCTGAAGAGGTGTCAACTCATCCTTATCAGTCAGATTGAGCTCTTAAACAAAGAAAATTAAGTACTTAAGAAAGTGTTGAAGTAGGCTTCCTCTGCTTTTGCATCACAGAATCAATGTGCTGCTGATAAATACAGGTATAAACCCTAAACAAACACTTGAGAATAAATAGGCTTTGTTACAAAGATTTTGGGAAATGGGATAGTAATCTTAGAAGGAAAATGAGTATCATCAAGCTGATTTAGAACCAAAGTCATCAAAATAACGCATGCATTTTAGAAGAGTATATTTGATTAGCTTTTTAATGTTAATATCACCTGCCAAATAATATTTATATTTTGGATATGCAGACACGACTGGACGGCTTGCTCCAGGAGATAATTCTTTAATATTCTGGTAGAAAAATCCACATTGTTGCATGTGATCCATTCACTGAAGCCCTCTCCCTCTGGCAATATAACAACTTGTCTCAAATTCCACTTCCTGGTGTTGTCTTTGCATTTTTTAAGAATTTATAGTGAGGAAACATTTCAGGGATATTCTTCTCTTCTTAAAAGTTTTAAATAAGCTGCTGTTGAAGAGGAAGCTCATCTTCTCTCTTCAGGAGAGAGAGGAGGGGCAGACTGTTCTCAGAGCACCACAGAAGCCCACATGGCTGTGGAAGGCCAGGTCTCACCAAAGGCCTCCATAACAACTGTTTCAGTGCTGACTGAGTGGTTAAGTTAAATATTAAAAGCCAGTGCCCTTATACAAAGGCTGGAATTAAACAAAAGCCCACCAAGAGTTTTGACTAGGCCTTTCCTGAGCCTTAAAGCATGAGAAAATAATGAAGGAATTCTTAACAGGATCCATTTATGAATAAATAAGTTTTATTGGGGATCTGAAGAAACTCCCTAGGCCTCCACAAACAAGTTTACTGGAGGCCTGAAGGAAATCCCCAAATTCCCATGATTTAGCAGGAGACAAGATAAGCGTAATCACCCAAGCACCTGGACCCATTTAGATTAAGTAAATGTATTGAGGCTGCAGAGGAAAGTCTTCAAGATTCAGACCTTACTTAGAGATTAAAAGAAGTTAATCATTTATGTTTTTAGATGAATGCACACTTACATGTAGACATATAGCTTAGGAGGTGTATAAACTCTGGAAAACTGTAATGTTGAGCTGGTCTGGAGATAATTTCCAGGCCTTCTCACTGTAACTGGTTACAGAAATAAAAACTCTCTTCCTCCCCCATTTCATCTGCATCTCGTTATTAGGCCGCAAGAAATAGCAGCCCAACCCTCAGTTTGGTACAGGAACATAGCCACTTATCTAAGCTGGGGTCCAACTGGTTTACGGTGCAGTGGCTGCCCCCTCACCTCACCAACTACAAACATAGACCCAGCTACAATTTATGATCTTACTTGTATGCTCATAAAGAAAATAATACAACCTATGAGTTTGATTTTTCAGAAATTACTTTCTTTCATTTTTTCTTTTTTTTAAGATACAGGTCTCTATATCACCCAGGCTGGAGTGCAGTGGTGTGATCATAGCTCACTCTATCTCTAAACTCCTGGGCTCAAGGGGTCCTCTGGAGTCACTGGGATTACAGGTTGAGCCACCACACACAGTATATTTTCATTATATTTATTGTGGTTTTACAATTCTACCTTTATGCACATATAAGAATATGAAATAACTAACATATTGAATAATAATAATAACTTTTGGAAACTCATCTTTATAAATATGTAATATGTTATGCTGTAGTTCATGTGTAGTCATCTTTGCATAGTTCATTTAAAATTAATATATAATGCCAAACTGTATGACTTTCTCAATAACATATTTCCTGTTTTTTTATTTAATTAATGCATTTATTTATTTTACTACAAATAATGTTGCCTTGCAAATTATCTTACAGATATCCTGCTATTGATAGCAATAGGAAACAGACAAATTCCTAGGCAGACAGGGACAGGTCCCAGTGAAACCCAACCTTCAACTCCCAGACAGCCTGAAGACTGGAAAGTGAGCTGCCACTTAAGGGTGCAGTCCACAACTGGAGTGAAAATTTCCTCAATTCCTTTTAGCCAATGGAATGATGCTTTTTCCAGACCTGTACATGGTCGACTCAGCACACACACCCCCATTCTGAGCCCATAAAACCCCCAGACTCAGCTTCAAAGACAGCTACCTGCTTTTGGGCCCCTTCTGACACAGAGTGCTACCCACTTCAGGTCACCTCTCATTGTCCAGAGCGTTTCTGTCACTAAGGAAAATTCTTTTCTGCCTTGCTCACTCTCCATTGTCTGTGTAAGTCATTCTTCTTGGTTGCAGGACAAGAACCCAGAACTCTCAAATGGTGGATGTGAAAAGAGCTGTAACACATGCTCTTGCTCGCCCAGCTACAAGAGTGAAAAAAATTGCTGGGCACCATATACCCCATTCGCCAAGCCATGGATGGAGAGACCGAATGAGCTGTGACACGACCCCATTCACCAAAGCTGCAGGTGGAGGAGACGAATGAGAGCTGTAACACTTCCTGGGGGCTCAGGCAGAAGCTGTAGTACCCCTTGGGGCTAGGTGGCTGCTGGCATATTCAAGTTTTCAGGCACTGCCACTGCATCCCCCTCATCCAGACACCAGTGCCCAGTGGAGAAGCTGGTTGAGGCATGCCCACACCAGCCACAGGCTGAGCACAGAGCTGTGATGGTCGCAGGGTCTGGGGCAGTACTGTGAGCCAAGTGAAGCCTGCATGGGGTTGAGTGGGCACAGCAAGCCCAGTGGCCCAAGTGAAGACTGAGAAGAAGCACCTCCAGCCATGGAGATTTCCAGCTGGCAAAGTGGCACCAAGAGAATACTGTGCCACCATATGAACTAAATTTAATCCAACATGAATTGTATTTGTAAAAAGTTGTATCAGTTTCTATCACAACTTACAATGCATAAGATATCTGCATGTTCAACATCAATGTTGCCACTTTAAATTATAAAGTGTTTTCATTTTTATACTCCTGATTAGGTTTGAGGTAATTTTTCTTGATCAATTCTGTATTTCATCACTTCTTTTTATGACATTTTGTCTTCTATAACCTTTTTTTTAAATCATAGCATGCATAAAAGAAAATGCACAAATTATATGAGAACAGCTTGATGAGATTTAGCAAATATAAATGTAACCAACACGTTTAAAAACCACAACACTATCGGCATTCCAAAAGTCCCCTGCATCTTCTTTATCCATTCCTACCCTTTCCTACTTCCTAAAACAAGCCCATATGGCTTAGTTTACATTTTCCCTCATTTGAAAGCTATAAAAATAGAACACAGTATTTTTGTGATGTTTCTTTTATTCCACAGGTTAAGAAAAGAATGCATATAGCCTGGGATATGTGGTATTCAATTATGTTGGGTTTGTAAAATTACAGGGTCATAATTACAGGGTCATATAATGTGGGTATATTTAATTTTAGGAGATACAATCATCTTTCCAAAATGGTTTTACATTTTATACCCATAGCAGCATATATTACCCATTACTAGATTAAGACAGTGATCCCCTACAAGTAGTTTGTTACGACAATTTAAAGTTGTTATCAATTACCGTAAATATTGACTGTATTTCATTAAATGTTATCTGCATTCATTGAAATAAAATTTTCTCTTTTTTTCTATTGATGTGGCAAATCACATTGCCCTTTCCCCAAATTATTCATTGAGAAAATAATCAATCCAGAAAACTAGTACAATAAACAACTATGTAACTTCTACTCATTTTCACCAAAGATGAAGACTTTGCCACATTTGTTCTGTCTCTATCTCTCTGTCTCTGTTTCTCTCTGTGTGTCTGCTAATACATTTTCTTTGCTGAAACTTACATTGAGCATTTCCATCCCTCCACATTTTAATGACATTGACTTTTTTGTTTGTTTTTTGTTTTTTTGAGACAGAGTCTCACTCTGTCTCCATGCTGGAGTGCAGTGGCACGATCTCAGCTCACTGCAACTTCCACCTCCTGGGTTCAAACAGTTCCCCTGCCTCAGCCTCCCAGGTAGCTAGGACTACAGGCGCATGCCACCATGCCGGGCTAATTTTTTGCATTTTAGTAGAGACAGGGTTTCACCGTGTTGCCCAGGCTGGTGGCCAACTCCTGAACTCAGGCAATCCGCCTACCTTGGCCCCACAAAGTGCTGGGATTACAGGTGTAAGCCACTGAGTAGAGTCCAGTTTTCATGAACAGACATTTTTTAAGTAAAAAGCAGTATTCCATACTTGAAATAAACACACATTAGTTGTGATGAATTATCCTGTATAGGCCAAGTACTCCTCCCTTATCCACAGGGAATACAGATCCAGGTCCCCAGTGGATGCCCGAAACTGTGGATAGTACCAAACCCTATAGATGATATTGAATTTTGATCTGATAACTGAGACAGCTCCTAAGTGACTAAGAGGCAGGCAGTGCATACGACATGAAAACACTGGACAAAAGGATCATTTCCATCCAAGCAGAAGGAGGGGGACAGCAGAAGTTTTTATCACACTACTCAGAATGGTGCATGGTTTAAAATTTAAGACTATTAATTTCTGGAAGTTTTGTTTAATATTTTCAGACCACAATTGACCACAGGTGACTAAAAACCATGAAAAGCAAAACTGTTGAATAATGAGGAGGGACTACTTTATTCCAGAAATCAGCTACCAATAATAATTTAAAATTATTTTGTCTATGTTCAAAAAAGTGATGACCTGCAATTTTTCTTTCATGTAACATTTTTATCAAGTTTTGATGTGAGAATTATGCAGACACCACCAAAGGAGCTGTGAAATGTCTCTTTTTTCTCTGGAAGAAGGTTAAATATATGTAATCTATTCTTAAAATATTTGAAGTAAACCAATGATAAAGTTATCTGGGCCTGGGAGTTTCTCGATGAATTCTTAAAATTATACATTCAATTTCTAATAAATATATGTAGGATTATTCATAATTTATATGCTTTATCATTTTCTTTTTTCCCCTTAGGAATTTGTCCATTTCAACTGAGTTTATAAAATTACTTATAATAAAGTTATTCGTATTCTCTTATCACATCTTTAATGTCTTTAGAATCTTTGGGAATTTCTTCTTTTTTCTTACCTAAGTCATTTATGGCTTTTTAAGAATTTAATAATCCAAAGGGAATATCAATTTCACTGATCTTTTCAAAGAACTAATTACATTTTGTTTTTCTTCACATTGAATTATTTTATAATTTACTAATTTTAATTTCTATTCTATTAACTTATTATTTAAGTTTAATACGTGTTTTTTAATTCTACCTAGATTCTTGAGATGGATGGTTAGCTCATTAGTTTTCATCACATTACACTGTAATAAATATAATTAGAGCTATAAATGTGTCCAACAATATGACTGGAAACAGTGGAATAGTGAGTTTAGGAAACTATTCCATTTCAAAAGAGGTGCATTAATTATTTATATTAGCTCTTCCTCAAATGCAAACATTCCAAATTATAACATGTTGTAGAGAGCTATATGATAAAATAACCATTATTAATTTTTGTGGAACTCATATACAATGAGATGACCAATTATAATACACTTTATTATAAATTATAAATGAGTTAATGACATTCTTCATTTTAGGCTATAATCAAAAGGTAGGATAAATTAAATATTACAATTCTCTATAATGTTTGTAATATCTAAATTGTTCATTGCAAGAGTAACCCCAACACTCTGTTTTCTTATGCCCCTGGAGGAGTAGTATTGCCATTCTGTTGGGAGCAGGCCCCCCAAAATCTGGCCATAAACTGGCCCCAAAACTGGCCATAAACAAAATCTCTGCAGCACTGTAACGTGTTCATAATGGCCCTAATGCCCAAGCTGGAAGTTTGTGGCTTTACGGGAATGAGGGCAAGGAACACCTGGCCTGCCCAGGGTGGAAAACTGCTGAAAGGCATTCTTAAACCACAAACAATAGCAAGAGCAATCTATGCCTTAAAGGCATGTTCCTGCTGCAGTTAACTAGCCCAACCTATTCCTTTAATTCAGCCCATCCGTTTGTTTCCCATAAGGGATATTTTAGTTAATTTAATATCTATAGAAACAATGCTAATGACTGGTTGGCTATTAATAAATATGTGAGTAAATCTCTGTTCGGGGCTCTCAGCTCTGGAGGCTGTGAGACTCCTGATTTCCCACTTCACACCTCTATATTTCTGTGTGTGTGTCTTTAATTCCTCTAGCGCCACTGGATTAGGGTTTCCCTGACCGAGCTGGTCTCAGTACCATTCTATGAAAAGCTTGTTACATAAAAAAAAAGAAAACTATTACCTTTATATATAGTTATCAACATTAATGTTCAGAAACTGCATCTCTCTGGAAATTATGTTTAAAAGAAAGATAAATGCATGTTACAAATTTGGACAAATATTTCCATTTCTTTTAGGTCCAGCCTGAAGAAAAGTCCCAAGCTGTGAAACAATTGAAATATTCAAATTTAGGGCAAGATTCTTTATTATTCTAAGTTTATCACAAACTTTAAACCTATAGAAGTTTTCTATTATGAACCAAAATAGGTATTATAGTAAATCATCATCATTGTCCCACAAATTGTCTCCCTACTAATGATGACTAAACTGTCAACATTTGCATTAAAGCCTATCTGAAATTTTATTCATCATATTAAAAAATAAGTTTTTTTCTTTGTGAAATTAACATTTAACATAAACAAAGAGTGAAATGTTGAATTATAAATAATAAGATTTCTTAACTCTAGGTATTTATTTTTTCTTGGGAAAGTACCTTACATGAAATAACAAGTAATACATTGTTTGTTCTCTTACTAAGTATCTAGTAGAGATGTTTTAGAAAATTATCATGTCCTGAAGGACAGCAGAAAACACAGAAAAAAGAGCTGAGGAAATTATAATTAGCTGCATCATTATAAATTGCCTCGTTTATTATAATAGTTGGTTAGATCTCATTTTTCAAAAGTTCAGTACACGGGCAGACCTTCAGAAAGCACATCTTATGTATATTACATCTGATCTTACTTGGACAAGGTGTATGGCATTCACTTTCTAAAGAGTATATTTGAAACTCTCAAGAGTTCTTAATTTATATATTTTTAAATGTAGAAATGGAAACAAAAACAAGATGTAGTTAAGAAAACGATTTGCAGTAATTGGTTTCATGCTATCAAATCTTCTTATTTCGGTATAAATTTACTTTCTAAAGCATAAATTGCAGAATACTTTTCATAATGCCTTGAAAATATTTTAAAATATTGTCTTATATGCAGTCTAACAAGTGTATAACAATGGTGTATTAGTCAGGATTCTCCAGATAAACAAAAGTAGAAGGGCAAAAAGGACAAACTCCCTCTATCAAGCTCTTTTATAAGGGCACCGGATCCCATTCATGAAAGAAATGTCCTTTCACATAATCGTATCTTAAGTTTCTCACAAATTAATACTTTCACATTGACAACACCTGAAATTTGGAGGGAACACAATTCAAACCATAGCACCCACCTTTCAATCAAGTTCCTATACCTTTTTTACTTCCTTTCAATTTTTAATATCTATTTAGGGTATATATTAAAAATTCTAAAGTGAAGTAAACTAATTAATCTTATAATTCGATGATGTCACATCAACACATTCAATCTTGGAATATGTTTTAAAATATATGCTTTTCTATGGACCTTTATGTATGAACCTTAGTAGGAAATATCATCAGTTTGTTATCCTAAGTTTGTTTTCATCATTAGAATGCTATGTTCTCACAGAGCACCTGACATTTCGGTACTCATTGCACATGTGCCAAAAAATGACTGAGGGAGAGAATGAAGAAATATTACTAGATGATGTATAGATAAATAATACAGTAGAAACTTTAAAATGTTTAAGGTAGCAGGTTTCTCCTGTATTCCTAGGGTCTCAGGCATTACAAAAATCACTACAGAAGCTCCTTGACTTGCAATGGGGTTAAGTCCTGTAAACCATCATAAGCTGAAAATATTTTAAGTTGAAATGACTTAATGCACATAACCCACTGAATATCACAGCCTTGTCAGGTCTACCTTAAACATGCTCAGAACATTTACATTAGCCTATACTTGGACAAAATCACCTCACACAAAGGCTATTTTATAATAATGTTAAATATCTCATATAATTAATTGAATACTCTACTGAAAGTGAAAAACAAATGTTTGTATGAGTGGTCAAAGTATGAGTTCTGCTGAATGCATATTGCTTTAGCACACACATAATAAAACCAAAAAATTCTTAGTCAAACTATTGTTAAGTCCAGGACCTTGTATATTTATTTGAAAGAATCATTAGGCTAGGGAGATTTTTGAATATGCTTTATAAATTTCTAGAGGTTGCTGTGACACATTTCAACAGTAAACCTGGGAATAAAATATTACTAAAAATATAGTTTTGTTATATTAATCTCTTAAATTTTTAAAGTTTAAATGTCAAATTTGAAAGTTAGAATTATTATTATCCAAAAAAGACACTAAAATTATTGAATAGTGGATAAAGAGATATATGAAAGAACAGAGATCCTGTGTAATATAGTCTTTGAAACATAAGCCTCATAATTGTAGATTTAAATTATCCTTACTATATGGGTAATCATTTGTCATGAGCCTTCACATCACTTACAAACAATCCTACTGTTTTATTAACAACAGTGAGGGCTATGCAGATATATTATAGTCTATTATAGAAAAGTTAGATTATGGGTCAATGACAATGCCTGGCAATGGTAGAAGGCAAAGATGTTCCTAATTTTCAAATTTATACATGTTCTTATAATAGTAATCATAAAATATGAAAAACATAAGCAGGTAGAAATAGATCTAGTGATGCTTTAAACTTATACATTATTAAAAACTTCCAACATTAGAGGACAGTTTAAAGTACAGTTTAAAATTCTGAATATAAATTAAATATAGATAACTGAATTGAATTTATAAAATGCTTTAACAATTTGAGTATCTGTTAAGCATTACTTTAAAAATCTTTACAATAAAATTTAACAAAAAGATATTACAAAATTGATTTACTGTGACATCACTGCTAAATAATAGCTTATGGCTGAAATTTTTCAAATTGAAATAATTTTAATAAATTAAATAATTAATGTTCTTATGTCTTTTATCACAATCTCTATAATTTAGTGAGCTAGTAGTTTAGAACTTATATCTATTATGAGATTCTCAAAAAGCTTCTATCTGTGACTCAAGTAAGATAAGTGAATTTATGCCATTACAAATTCTATAATGACATATTTCTGTAAACTCTGTGCCTCAAGTATTTTATTGTCTGCATACCCAAATCAGACCACGATTTACTGAAGTTTTACTTTGCTTATCTTTAAGTAGGTTTAATATACGTATAATAGAGCAAGGACATTTGCCGTATATATTTATGATTGTCAGTTATTGTAGTCTATATCCTTTGTAGCAAAGTAAAATGGCTTTATCTGTCAGAAAGAAGAAAAATGATTTTTATATTTCAAGGTTGAAAATATGCATTTTATGAGGCAAGGAACAAGTCTTTTGAAACCAATTGAAAGAGACTTTAATTTGTAAGGGAAATACACATTTTATTTTTATGGTTTGTCACTTTTATACTTAGATGATGAATCCTGTTAAAACCAAGAACAGTTTCATACCTCTTGTTGATTTTTATTTCCTCAAGGTCAGAAAAACTAAATCCCTTTTTATTTATTTATTTATTTATTGCTTTTGAAATAACAATTTTTAAGCAAATGGAGTAGTTAAGAAGCAGAAACTGTCCCTAATGAGAAAAATGGTGGACAAAATTAAAGCTATAAGAAAAAAATGTCCCTGGTTAAGAAGTGAGATTGCTGTCGCACCCATTGTGCTTGTAGAATGACATAGCTAGATGATATCTGCACAAGAAGTCCAACAGGAGTCAAGTTGGATGCAGAATGTTTCTATAATGTTTCATGATATCACTTACAGAAATCCAATATTAAAATGCCCCATGTATATTGGCATGTGCCACATTAAGAATGGAATTTTGTAAAGGTAGGTGATTGAACTGATTATTGATTTGTCTTCTTATTCCTTAAAAAATAAATGTCACTTTTTTATTGATAAATGGAGCCTAATTAAACTAAAGAGCTTCTGCACAGCAAAAGAAACTATCAACAGAACGAACAGGCAACCTACAGAGTGGGGGAAAATCCTTGCAATCTATCCACTTGAAAAAAGTCTAATATCCAGAATCTACAAGAAACTGAAACAAATTTACAAAAAAAAATTCATTTAAAAGTGAAAGGACATGAACAGACTCTTCTCAAGAGAAGATATTCATGAGCCAACAAATATGATAAAAAGCTCAACATCACTGATAATTAGAGAAATGAAAATCAAAATCACAAGGAGATACTACCTCACACCAGTGAGAATGGCAATTATTAAAAAGTCAAGAAACAATAGATATACAGCATCAATGTGGTGGAGACATGCTTTCTTGGAACTGAAGAACTTGTGAAATAATATTTTGCCCAAGAGAAAGCTGCTTTGTGCACTTTGTTAGGGAACTCCTGCTGTGAGTTAGAGTAGACGTAGGTATACCTCTTGGCAAAGAATTCCAAATGGAGACAGTACTGATGATTAAAATGAATGGTACTGCTTATATTTTGGTGGAATCACTTTGTCCTGTTCTCTCATAGAAATTATTGCCACTGGTTACACTTGATCTTTCAGCTTGTAATTGTTTAGGAGATGTCTGTCTCTGTCATTAAAACATGATTTCTTTAAAGTCAGAGACTTTGTTTTATTCTTCTTGACATTTCTGTCACCTAATGAAATGCACATTAATTATTGCATATCAAAACAATAAATCAGTTTAATCTTTATCACCCTTTAAAAAAAGAATGATTGCTTAAAATAATATATTAGACAAAAGTAAATATACAAAAATGCTTATGCAAATTTACTTTATAATCTAGGACACTATGAGCTTTCTGGGTCTCAGATATCTTACCTTAATAAATGAAAGGGATAATAGAAAATTTCTAAACTCTAATCAATGTCTATATTTAAATATCTCACAATTATGGAAAACAAGGAGAAGCAAGTCACATCTTACATGGATGGCAGCAGGCAAAAAAAGAACTTCTGAAGGGAAGCTCCCCCTCATGAAACCATCAGATCTCATGAGACTTATTCACTATCATGAAAACAGCATGGGAAAGAACTGCCCCCATGATTCAATTACCTCCCACTGGGTCCCTCCCACAACACATGGGAATTCAAGAAGAGATATAAGTGGGGACACAGCCAAGCCACATCAACTACTAAACAAAAAGAATGCTTAATTATGCTAGATCTAGATAAGAAAATAATATTTTAAAATTGATACATACCTAAATGTATTTTTACACTCTTTACCAGAGTCTGAAACAATATCTGGAATTTCATGGGTAGAATTATCAATCACTCCTCAGTTTTGATGACAGCTGGCTTCAAATTGGTTAAAATATGGGAAAGGCCAGGACAGAAAGAGAAGGTAGTTCAATATCACATTTAAAAATTGTTAGTTAGTGACACTATGTAAGGACAATAAACCTTGGTTTGCCATTTCATTCTTATAATGCTTCAGTGTTGTGCAAGGAGGTGAGTCTTTTCATCTTTCCCTTCCAATGTATGAAAGTTCATGGTCCTAAGAGTGATGTCTAACACTGAACCATTCTAACTGTATGTACCAAGAGCAAAGAAAGAAGCAAGGATGTAAAAACCTCATTTAAGATTTGTTCTCCACTAAACTACTACTTTATGTTGCAACTTGTAGCCCACCACATATTGTTTAAATGTATCAAATTATTTTTATCGAAGTTTAGGGATACAAAATCACCATATAAAAATCAGTAGCATTTCTATACACAAATAACATTCAAGGTGAGAGTCAAATCAAGAACACAATTCAATTTACAGTAGCCACTAAAAAAATAAATTAAATACCTAGGAATGCATTTAACCAAGGAGATGAAAGATATCTATGAGAAATACTAAAAAACACTGCTGAAAGAAATCAGAGATGACACAAACAAATGGAAAAACATTTTATGCTCATGGATTGAGAAAATTAATATAGTTAAAATGGCCATACTGCCCAAAGCAATCTACAGAATCAACACTATTTTTATCAAACTACCACTGTTATTTTTCACAGAATTAGAAAACACTATTCTAGAATTCATATGAAAAGAAAAAAGACCTGGAATAGCCAAAGGAATCCTAAGCAAAAAGAAAAAAGTTGGATGCATCACATTACTGAACTTCAAAATATACTATGAGGTGACAGTATTTGCTGCAGGAAATAGAAATGTTATTTTGTTTGTTCCAATGCCTGAAGAAATAAATCAGGTTGATTCTTGAATTAAATACAATTAGAAACCCACCAATATTTATTTTTAGAAAAATGTAAAATGTATAGTGGTGGCACACATGAATTAAATGATTTCATATGAGATTTAAAATTAAGGATTTATCCATTAAATTAACCATATATTTATGTGTAGAACTATTAGTATTATATAATCACAACATCATAGAAGAATGATTGAAAAGACTTTTTTTTTTTAGAAGTTCAAAGAATAGAGAAATCTTATCTAGTTAAAATAATTTCCAAAACCCATATATAGTTGAAAGTAAAGAATTATGGACAGGTGAAATTTAAAACAAAATCGCTAAGAAATACCCAAGTAGATAAAAGATACTTTGGATTTACCATTTATTTAATTGCAAATAAAAAGTTGGGATCCTATGATTTTTGGTAATTGTTATTGTTTGACTTGCATCTTGATACATTGAGAGTTTGTCATTTTTTTTCTATGAGTGTGAGAAATTATTGTGTTTCTCCTCCTAGGACATTTGAACCCAAGATGTATTGTTTATTAATTACATTGTAAAAATATGCTGTATTTCTATTAACAATCAATTACATATAGATGTGTTAAAAAATGCTCCTCTCATGATAGATCTGCTACTTTATGTTTATAATTTTTAATATAGGCTTTACAAATTTGGAATATTATTTTTTGCTGCATTACACATACAATAAGTAGGTCTTTCTACCAATTTATAACTTTGATCACTACGAAGAGTATTAATCAGGGTCCCAGAAGAAATATATGACACATTCAAACTAAACAATATAAAAAGTGTTTAATAAAAAAAGACTACAGTGGATTCCTGAACAATATGAGTTGGAACTGTGTGAGTCCACTTAGTAATTTTTTTTTCAATAAAACTTACACTGAGGGTGCTTGCCTCTTTTGTTTCCTCTTCCACATCCTTTACCTCTTCTTCCTCTACCAACCCTGAGACAGAAAGACCTATCCCTCCTTTTCCTACTTCTCAGCCTTCCCAATGCATAGACAAGAATAAACATCTTTATGGTCCACTTTTACTTTATGAATAGTAAACATATTTTCTTTTCCTTATGATTTTTGTAATAGCACTTTCTGTTATCTGACTTACTTTATTGCATGAATAGAGTATATAACACATAGAACGTACAAAGTGTTGTTTATGTTATGAGTAAGGCTTCTGGTCAACAGCAGGCTATCAGTAGTTAAGTTTTGGAGAGTCAAAAGTTATGTTGCTTTTTGAGTGTGTGGCGGTCAGTGCTCTATCACCCATGTTGTTCAAGGCCCAACTATAGTTTAAAAAGGGAGAACATTCTACAGTGAATAATTATTGTTCATGCCTGATATTATGGTTTGGTGAACTAGATTCATGACAGGCATCTCTAGAAATATTTTCACCTGGTGTCCCCATGGTCATGATTTTAACCTACGAAGGCTTAGTAACAAAGTGGATGAAACTTTTAAATTGTAAAATATTCGGTAAAAGAAGACAACATAGTCTTTTTGTAAACCTCGAGAAGTCTTTTCTGTGATATTCCTATAAAGCTTGAGGCAGTCTCCATATACATCTTTATCTGCCTCTGGGCATTTCTAGTAAGTAGTATTAGATCTGCTGAGACATAAGGTCAAAATGTCAAGGTAGTTTATATCACAACCTATACCTATTAGAAAACCTTTCTTTTTTTCTAATTACAATTCAAAACTGACAGTCATTAATTACCTGGTTAATGTGTTGAAGGAATAGGTCTAAATAAGTCTTAACCAAATCAGAAAGCACAAAGAAGCATTTTGAGCCTTTATTTGTAATGAGATCTTCACCTGGAGTTCCAAAATGTATCACCTTCCCTCTTGTTTAATAGCAAGGAAATTTCCAAGAAATATGCCAACATGTGCATGACAAGTGGATCCAAAAAAACTTGACTGAGGTTGAAGCACCTGAATTTCCAAGGACATTTATATATTACAATGTCATATGCAATTATTGTTACTCATTTCTCATCAGGCCCAGTAAACACCATGGTGCCATCCAGATAGATCAATATCATAGTCTGTGGAATAATCAGCGTTCCTCCAAATTATGTTATGACACAGAGTAAGAGAGTTGAGACTGGAAATCTTACCCATGGGATGCAGTCATTAGGCACCATTTCTACTGTCTATATGAAGAATTGCTAAGCTTTCTGACACGTAACAAGCCTTTCTTTCCTCCAGTTTCTCATAACATCTTTCTCTTTCAGTAAGCCCTCAATGGCAGGCTATTTAATGTACAGAATTCTACCAAGAGTCAGTTCAAGGCAATTTTGACTTTCACTACTATCACCACAAATTTTGTTCTAGCTACTGCCCACTGATGATTTACAGAATCACTCCTATATTTTGGGATATGTGATGATCATATCTTAATTCTGGTACCAAAGAAATTGGTTTTGATTATCTACTGCTGCATAAGTAATTATGCAGATATTTGGTTGTTTAAAACAACAACTATTTATTATCTTAGACATGGCAATGACTAGGGCCTCCAGCTGACGTGTATGTGAGTAAACTTCTGTGGAAACAGATCTTTCAGTCCTAGTTAAGCCTTCAGATGTCTTCACCCCAACTCACAAGCGAATGTAAACACAAGAGATGCTTAGCTAGAGCCACGTAGTTAACCCATAATTTGTTTTTGGACCTTCAGAAGCTGTGTGAGATAAAAAAGAAAATGTTTGTTGCTTTGAAATTTGGGATAATCTGTTACACAACAATAGGCAACTGCTAAGCAGGTAAAGACTGGTTCTTTCAATTTGCTGGGAAGTGGGGACAAGTTTCAGTCAAGGATTTTGAGGATTAAAATACTTCAGCCTCATCTGTGTCTGTCTCATGATTCCATCTCTTACTTTAGGAGTATAATCTAAATACAGAAAAAATGCAACACATACTTGTCCTCTGCAGCAATTCAAAAGAAAGTTGGAACTCTCAGAGCAGATATATACGAATGAATATGAGTGATAGATATTGTCTCTAATACTTGGGTCCTTGAAGTATAGGCCATTGGAGAAATTAAATGTTCTTTTACCTCTATTTGGTCAGCATATTAATAAAAAAATTCTGAAGCAGTCACAAACCACTATGTGTGTTGAATATCATACAATGCACACAGGTGTTTATAAATGTTTGATTATCTTAACTGATTTATAAATTTATTTCCATAGCTTAATTACTTAACTGAGTTCTACCCCCCACAACACACACTTATTTCCAAAAATGTATTACGCCAAAATGCAAATAGTCAGTATCTTAGCATCTAAATATGCAACTACAAAATTTCACACATGAGACATCATACACGCTTGAAAGTGTGTAAGGAAGAATAGAAAGTATGCCAGACTAAGGTTTTTTTCTTCCTATCCTAACAGATTTGAAAGAAAGGTGAAAGAAGACAAACGGGATGGAAAATTTTTAGATGAAATTATTTATTTATTTATTTGATCTCATGGACTGACTTAGATTATTTCCCTTTAAATGCTAAATCCTCTTTGATATTGAGTAATAAGCTTTCAGAGATTGACATGCCATTTCCAGATGCTAACCAGAAATAGCATCTGTCAGACTTCATTTCTGAAGTGATTATACTTTACCCAGTGGTGAGGAACAGGTCTCTATGTTCTATTTTTTGCATGTAACACTGTTGCATTCAAATATTTGAAAATTAAGAAAACAAAACGAATAATCTTAGTTAATTAATAACACAATAACTTTGTTGTTTTGATGGCTTTCGTCATTAACGTGACACTTTCAGCATGATACACAATCAAGTAGATGAAACAACTCAATTAACATTAATGTCACCCTCATAAAAGTCATTTCCCATAAAATGAAACCAGATTGTATATGGAAAAAGGCACACAAATGAAAAAAATGACTTAGATGTAAATACATTTAAAATTATAATCATCAAATGTTTTAATAAAATAAAAACAATTCATTCACATTATTACAGAGTTAGGTAATCAAATAATTAAATTGCACTGTTAATTAATGAAAATTTTTTAGCAATTAACAATAGTAGCAACCGTCATTGCAAACATGTATTATATGAGGGTATTTGAGAATTTGGCATTGTCACCACTGTCAGGTAGAAAATGCTAGGCATCATTTTAATCCACAAAGTACAGGAATAGAAAGGAAATGTTATTACTGCCAGTACCGATGAAAATTCTTTTCAAAGTATTTTGTTTTTTCAACTACTCTGTCAGTAAGCTTACATGCTTATATAATTTAACATTTTTGTCTGAGATTTAGGAGGAAAATAGTGATGTTTTATAGTAGAGGGGATATATGACAGCGTCTAATTTGGAAAAAATAAATATTTGGAACAAATTTTATATGATAGTAAACCAATAAAATATAACTGGCTCTTCAGAATCAATTTTTTTAAGTTTCTCCATCACTCTACTAAAAATGAACTGATAAAATGCAGTTTTCTGTTTTTACTCAGTCAATTGTCACAGTATATTTTATCTCAAATACAGAAAACTCTAAAAAGTGAAGTACAGTATGTAACTTTTATCTATGAGTTAGTTCCACTAAACAATATCTGACCTTGAGTCCTTACTGCTATATTAATACACTTAGAATTATTCAATAAATGAAAAAACAGAAAACAAATAAATAAGATAGCCTGCAAAAATATTTTAAACTTAGCAAAAACATTGGGGCAAAAAGTGGAATAATTTTATTGAACAATGAGAACACTTGGACACAGGAAGGAGAACATCACACACCGGGGCCTGTCCTGGGGTGGGTGGAGCGGGGAGGGATAGCATTAGGAGATATACCTAATGTAAATGACGAGTTAATGGGTGCAGCACACCAACATGGCACATGTATACATATGTAACAAACCTGCACGTTGTGCACATGTACCCTAGAACTTAAAGTATAATAAAAAAAAAGCAGTGACCACAAAAAAACCCACCAAGTATTAATAGTTACAATACCTAGAAAAATCACATTATTAAAAAATTACCTGCTAGAGACTGAATGCTTATGTCCCCCTCAAATTTTTTTTTTTTTTTTTTTTTTTTTTTTTTTTTTTTTTTTTTTTTTTTTTTAGGCAGAGTCTCACTTTGTCGCCCAGGCTGGAGTGCAGTGGCACAATCTCGGCTCACTGCAAGCTCCACCTCCCGGGTTCACGCCATTCTCCTCCCTCAGCTTCCCGAGTAGCCGGTACTACAGGCGCCCGCTAATTTTTTGTGTTTTTAGTAGAGACGGGGTTTCACCATGTTAGCCAGGATGGTCTCGATCTCCTGACCTCGTGATCCGCCCACCTCGGCCTCCCAAAGTGCTGGGATTACAGGCATGAGCCACCGCGCCCGGCCATGTCCCCCCAAAATTTGTATGTTAAATCTTAACACCCAGTGTGATGGTATCTGGAGGTGAGCCTTTGGGAGGTAATTAGGTAATGAAGGTGCAGCCTTCATGAATAGGATTAGTATCCTTATACAAGAGGCCACAGAGAGTTCCCTTGCCCGTTCCGTCATGGTGAGGTTACAGTGAAAGACGACAATCTGTGCGCCAGGCAACAGGCCGTCATCAGACATCAAATCTGCCAGTGCCTTAATCTTGGACATGTCGGTCTCCACAATTGTGAGAAATAAATTTCTATTGTTTATAAAAAAAGAAAGAAAGAAAAAGCCCAAACACCTAAATTTCAGAGATCTTTTATATGTGTCCTATATTTATAGTACTTCTGTGATATGGATTATCCAAGAATCACAAAGGAAATTCACATATTAAAATAAATTACAATATTATATCACGAGCTGCTTGGAGCACTTAAAGGAATTCCATATACTATGTTATTTATTAAGTGATTATATTTGAGATGACTAAGGGAAAATAAAAATGCTTCACTCTTGTAACATGCAGTTACCTCATTTCCCTACCTTCGTCATGAGTATTCTTTGTTTGTCGATGTGAAAAAAAATGGAAAAATTAATGTTTAAAAATATAAAAATGAGTGGGATATTCCTTTTTATCTTTTTCATCCTAACCCAAATACCTTTTTTTTCATTTTTCCTCTTGCTTTGCCACTATAACTCTCTTGGTGTATATTCTTCTGTAAGCTTAAACACAGGGTCTCTAGACTGTAAAGCCATTGGCATAACTGAGCAGAGTAGGAAGGGAGACGGATCTGTGCGTGGTGAGAGAGCAGAACACTAGTGGAATTTCGAGTGGGTGTGACACCCAGCAGCCACGTGGTTTAGACATTGACTGTCCATACATTCAGTTATTCAATAAATATATTTTAACTGCCTACTAGATGCTAAGCTTTCTACTAGGAACCAGGGCTCATGAGAGAGGAAACAGAGAAGAATCATTGCCTTTCTGTATCTTACTTGCCAATAGCTTTGATAGAAGAGAATCACTCCCGTTTGTGTGAAGAACAGACTGAAGGAGGAGAAGAATGAAGCTGGGAGACTTGCCAGGCAGTTGTTAGCAAACCCCTACTAGGTAACCTGTTCTTCGAACATTTATTTTACATACTGAGAAACAAAAACTTTCATTATTTCTACTTATTTATAAGATGGGGGAATTTAAACCATGATTATATGTTAATAGAAATTATCAAAAGGCAAGAAAGATGCAGAAGGAATTGAGCGTAAGGAAAGAAACAAGGGCTTTTGAGATGAATGGAAATCACGTAACCCAGAAAATTAGGTCACATCTCCCGTTGTAACAGAAGGAAAGATAGCGACTGTCAGGCTGGGTGCAAATGAGTTTATGAGTGTTTCTGGTGGAAGATGAGATATTTTTCATTTCATTAAGTTATATTTACCTAGTGAAGTATCATTTTAAAAATCACCAATTGTGGTTGAGTAAAATAAGGAGGCTGCAGGGGCAAGATGAGGCAGAGATTGTCCTCCTAGAGAGTTAGAAATGAAAATATGGTGACATTTCTGAGTATTTCTAAAACATGTAAAATTTGTGGTTGACACCTTAATATTTAAATAGTTTGGCAAGTTCCGTAACTTTTCTCTACCACTGGTCAATAGCCAAGATGACAGTTCAGAAAACAAACAAACGGGAAAAAAAATTGGGCATAATGACAGCTAATGTTTTATAAGATGAACAGAAAAGAACTAAGAGAGTATAACTGTGCTTTGAGGAAAGTGACTATAATCATTGACTCTGCAGTTCCAGGTGGGTAATATCTATTGGGGTGACTGTTCCTACATAATACTAACTAAATCATAAGGGTGGGCAGTCACAAAATTGAAGATGAAAATGAAGATTTCAGAGGAAATGCTGTCACATGTGATAACAAGATGGGGTGGGGCTGCACTATGTCAAGTATCCTTAGTAGTACCTTATCAGGCTTGGAGTGTTTTAACTGTTTGTTGCTATATATTTAAAAAGTAATAAGCAAACCAATGCAAATAAAATAAAAATTGCTTTAGTATTTTTGGAAAAAAAAAATCTGCTTGCTTCTTGAGGAGGCTTTCTGCCTTTAGCAGTCCTTTCTCCATTGGCCAGGAACTGCCTTTTGTGCCACACATTTCTTTCTTACTTCTGCCAGGGGCCTCAGGCTTCAGCAGCAGAACGCTGGTGAAATTTATTTCACATTCACCTTCTTCCTCACTCTCTCTGTATATATACATATCTATATCTATATGTAGATATAGATATAGATATCCTGAATCACAATGATACTATTGGTAGAAAATTTCTTTATTCACAAAGACTAAATATGGTTTTTGTAAGGGTCTTTAACTTCCATCCAACCTCAGTCCACATTGTTCACACTGTGGAGATATCATCATTTACTATTTCTTCTCACTTTTTGTTCAAGAGACAAAACAGTTATATAAGACTGTTCCTGTAGTTTGGATGCAGGATTAGCTTATCTATTTAAGAGGTCTTAATTATTTTTATATATAAATCATTTTATTTCCTTGCTTTAGGTTCTGATGCATTTTTGTTGTTGATGTTGCTTTGCTTTAATTTTAATAAGATACAGTTTACACTTAATGAAATTATATATATAGATATATACATATTTGAGACTGACTCTCGCTCTGTCGCCAGGCTGGAGTGCAGTGGCGCGATCTCAGCTCACTGCAACTTCCGCCTCCCTGGTTCAAGTGATTCTCCTGCCTCAGATTCCCGAGTAGCTGAGACTATAGGCGCGCGCCACCACACCCAGCTAATTTTTGTATTTTTAGTAAAGACGGGGTTTCACCATGTTGGCCCAGATGGTCTTGAACTCTTGACCTCCTGATCCGCCCACCTCAGACTCCCAAAGTGCTGGGATTACAGGTGTGAGCCACCGCGCCTGGCCTGAAATAATTTTATTGTTGCAACATATATGGACAATCACGAAACGACAGTCAAAATCACAGCACAGAATATTTCCGTAACCCCAAAAGTTTCTGTGTGCCTCTTACCAGTCATTCTCCACCCGACATAGTGATAACAAGTGACAAATGAAACACTTTATCTCTATAGGTTAGATTTGGCTTTTCCAAGACATATACAAATGGTATCATATGCCATAGAGTCTGTGGCATCTTTGATAACTGTCTTCCTTTACTCAGCATAATGTTTTAACCATCCTTATTGATTTTATCAGAACCCATTCATTTTAATACTGAAAAGAAATCCACCACATAGATACACCAAAATGTCTAATTGTGTGTCTTCATTTGATTCTTGATGAAATGTATACAATTAGGGATTATTATCAATAAAAGAGTTTTTTAATATTTCTGTATGATTCTTTTTGTAGATGTATGTTTCCGCTTCCTTTGGTCAAATATTTAAGAAATAAATTGCTAGCCCATATTGTAAGTGAATAGTTAGCTTTATAAGAAACAGCCAAACTATGTCCAAATGTTTTTACTGTTTCACAAATCCACTCGAAAATTTTGAGTGTTATGTATTCTTACCGACAGTTGCTATCACTAGTCCTTTTTTTTTTTCCTTTATGAAATGGCTAACTCATTATGGCTTAATTTTATATTTCTATTGTGACTAAGGTTTTAAGCATTTTTCAGTGTGGTCATTTATCATTTCTGTAACATCTGGGAATTGTACATTCAAATATTTGCTCCAAAATTTTAATTGTCTACTTGTCTTCTCTCTGAAATTTAAGAGAATTTTAAAATTTCTGATTACAACAATTTTATTAAGTATATTTATTGAAATATTTCCTCCTAGTCTTTGTCTTCTTGCCTGCTATCTTCTGTAATTGGTGTATTTTGAAGAGAATTTAAAAATTAGCATGAAGCACAAATTAACGAACTATTGTTATTTTACTATTCATATTTTTTGTGTCCTATCTAATAAGTTCTTGCCAAACTTCTATCAAATATTTTTATTATTTCCTTTTAGGCCTTTTATAATTTCAACTATTATTTCTAGGCCCAAAATAAATTTTCAGTTAATATTTATGTATGATGTTAATTTATAATCAAAATATTTTTTAAAAAATCTAGTTATGCAGTGGCTCAAGCATGAGTTTTGAATGGCCAAATAAAAGCCACTAGAATTACTTCTCCCTAAGAGAAGAGTAAACTGAAAGGAATACTGCACTCCTGGAGGACTGCAGAGATTAGTGTTAACATCAAGAACTAAAAAGATACAGAGATGGTGACTGCCCCCATGTCTCCTTCAACTCAGCTATTTGGTCTGTGAAGAAAAAAGATGAGTTTCAGGGAATGACAGTAGGTTATTATAAACTCAACCAACTGCAGCTGCTTTTCAGGAGTGGTTCCATTGTTTGAACAAATTAGCACATCATCTGGCATCTGTTATGCAACTATTGAACTAGGAGATTTTTTTTCATAATACCTGTCAAAAAAAAGACCACCATAAGCTGTTTGCATTTTGCTGGCAATGTCAGCAATGCACCTTTACTGTCCAAGCTTGAGATTATATCTATTCTTCCCCCGATTACTACAATTTCATCTGCAGAGACCTCGATCAAACTCCCTTCTATAAGACAATCCTTTAGTCTATAATATTGATGTTATGCCTATTGGACTGAGTAAGCAATAAGTAGCAATTTTTATAGATGTATTGAGAAGAAATCTATGTCAGAGGATGTAATATCAATCTGACAAAAATTCATGAGACTTCCTTAGAGAAATTTTTAGAGGTAAAGTGAAGCAGGGTATGTTGAGATAGCTCTTCTAAGGTGAAATATTAGTTATTGCATCTGGTACCTCCTACAACCGAAAAAAAAAATGGTACAGCATCCAGCCATCTAATTTTAATTCCAGAGCAACATGTTTTTCATCAGGATGTGCTATCCTGGCTCATATAACAAGGGATGTAAAAAGCAGCTAATTTTGAGTAATCCCCAGAAGAGAAGTGTATGCAAAATTCCAGGCTGCCATGCAAGCTGCTGTAACACTTCGGCCACAGGATACAGCAGATCTGATGGCGCTTGATGTGTCAGTGACAGAAAGTTATGCTATTTAAAACCTTTGGCATGTTCCGATATTTGAATCACAGTACATATCCTTAGGATTTTGACAAAGTCATGCCACCTTCTGTGGATGATTATTTGCCTTTAAGAAAGAGTTTTGGCTTGCTACTGGGCCTTATTAGACACAGAATACTTAACCATGGGCCACCAAGCTTTTATGCAACTGAGCTTTCCAGTATGAGCCAGAAATTGTTTTATCTCCCAAGTCATAAAGTGGGGTGTGTACTACAGCACTCTGTTATCAAATGGAAGTGGTATATACAAGATCAGGTTTGAGCAGACCTTGATGGAACAATACATGAAAATATAACCTCAATACCAATGGTCCCTATGCCTGCTACATTACCTTTGCTTCCCCAGACTATATTTATAGCCTCATGGGCAATTTCTTACAATTATTAGACCAAGAAAGAGAAAACTCAGATCTGCTTTATAGAGAGTTCTGAACACTAAACTAGCATCACCCAGAAGTGAAAAACTTGAGCACTACAGCCCCTTCCTAGGATATCCCTAAAGGGGAATGCCAAAGGGAAATCTTTCCAGTGGGCAGAGTTTTGAGCAATGTATTCGGTTGCTTATTTTGGCTGGAAAGAAAGATGGCCAGAGATATGAGTATATATTGATGTATGAGCTATGACCAATGGTTTAGCTCTATGATAAGGGAATTTGAAGGAACATGATTAAAAAATTGGTGACAAGGTGTTCTGGGGAAGAGATATCTGGATAGACTTCTGAATGGGCAAAGAACATGAAGACATTTGTGTTCTATGTGAATATTCAATAGGGGTGACCCCAACAGTAGAAGATATAGCAGTCAAGTGGATAAAATGACCCATTCTTTAGATACCAGTCTCTTTCCTACTCAAACCTGCCATTGGACAATGGGCTCATAGACAAAGTGGCCGGTGATGGTGGCAGGGATACAGGTTACGCACAGGCTCAGCAATATGAGCTTCCACTCATTGAGGCTGATCTGGCTATAGCCACTGCTGAGTGCCAAATCTGCCAGTAGCAGAGACCAACCCTGAATGATATTCTCTACCATGATTATTAACTACCTTTTGGCAGTTTGACTACATTGCACTCTTTCCATCATGGAAGAGGCAGAGTTTTATTCTTACTGGAAGAGAAACACTTTGGATATAGATAGGCCTTCCCTTGATGCAATGCTTGTGACAAAACTATCATTTGTGGATTCATAAAAATGCCTTATTCACTATCATGGTATTCCATGCAACATTGTTCCTGATCAAGTAGCCCACTTCACAGCAAATAAAGAATGGCAAAAGGCCCATCCTTATGAAATTTACTAGTTTTACCATGTTTCCAACCATCCTGACGTAGTTGGTTTGACAGAATTGTGGAAGGGCCTAATTAATTTATGTTCAATTCTTCCACTCTGTCATCCCCATTGTGGTATAAAAATGAAGAATTTAATATGGACTTCAATAACTACATTCTAAATAGAATTCTCCCTTTGAATCTTACTATTTAGTTCTATCTTTTGAATGTTTATCTAAAAGTCCATGTCTAGATTATTATGGAATTTATACATTTACAGGAACTAAAATAACTCTTGATGAGATTCAGGATAGATCAAGTGACTTCATTATATATGAATAAAACTCTTTTAAACAATGACTGCTAATCTAGTCAGAGGCAATTAGAATAGGTTATAAATTCTATAGATCAACACAGAATGTCAAATAAACTTGCAATGGGGGTAAAAGAATTCAACAGTTTTAAGCTACAGGCATACTAGATGATTCAGCAAATGAATAGTAGGTGTTCCTGATGCAGAGAAGAGAACAAATATAGCAAAAACGCAGATTCAAAGTGATATGAAAACTAAATGCTTTCTCTTGAGCTTTAGATAGAAATGTACATTCAAATTGTAATAACTTGCATTTTTTAGGAAATAAAAACAATATAGTCTGACTCTTGGAAATAGCCTAACAATACTTTGAACGGTTATTTGAGGGTTAAGAAATATCAACAAAACAAAATCGCAACCAAAAAGGAAAACAAGCATTGAAGAATAGTGGTCATACAAAAATAACATTCTCGTTATGTAATACTAGTAGACAGTATGTTGTGGTAGTTACTGTTACTTTTAGTGGACAATATCAGTATCTTCTTTTGCAAACCTAAAATTCATGAGATCATAGTGTTGATAAAAAAAACTAACATTTTTATGTATGAGTGAATAAAAGTAAATTCTAAGATAAACGAAGGCTCAGAATGTATCCCATTCATGTATTGTTTTGAAATACATGTATTGAAGTGTGCATCTGAGTAGTAGATAATGCAAAACCAGTATGTAAACATTTAAAAGTATTACTATAAAAATAGAGTTGGGAATGGAAACAGTTAAACAGAGATGCCCTATATATATAGAAGGACATACAATCGTCAGTGCAGCACAGTGATTAATGACATAGGCCTTGCAATCAAATAGATCTCCATTCAAATAATTCAAATCACCTCTGCTAGCTGTGTCACCTTGGACTAAGTTTTTAAACCATTTTATCTTTGGCGTTCTAATTTGTAAGATGGGGATAACATCGTCTGTCCCTCATGCAATGTTAAAATTTAAATGACAGAATATATGTGAATGCTTATCACAGACAGAGCTTCGCTGATTAAGTGCTCAGGAAAGGCAGTTAGCAGACGTAGAAAGCAGTAACAGCAGTACAATAAAATTGTCATAAATCTGTTTTTAGACAGATTTTTTGGCCACATGAATACCGCAGTGTGAGGCTAAGCGATACTTGATAAAGTCTAACATAGAAAGAAGGTTTTGCAAAGGTTGTATGAGTTTAGAAATCACAGCAATTCCCCAAGTACATCCTCTAAAACTCTGTCTATAAAAATCCATGTCTATTATGGAGGGTTGAAAACCTTATCAGAAGAAACTTTGTTTATTCCACCCTCACCATTTATTCTGGTCTTTTTTATTGCTGTTCATACTACAAATATTAGCACTCTACACTTAAGAACAAAAATATTAAATTTTACATTGTTATATAAAATATGGTAGAAAAAATTGTTCATTATTATGACCTTTATTCATGTTATGGAATGTAACTGAATGTGAATTCTAGTTTTGTGTATTTAGACAAAGCCTCCTAACTTAATTAGCTAAAAGTAAAAATGCCTAAAGAATATTATGTTGTCAGACAACCATTTCGAGTCACCTTGATTGAGGGAACTTCGGCATAATTTTACCTATTCACTCTTTAAACAAATATTTGATAATATACTCTTTGTATAATTGTACAATGACCAGAGATGTAGTAATAAACAAATGACATTAAATCATTTCATTTATGGATTGGTGTCAGAATAATCTCAACAACTCGCAGCCCACATAAAGATCATGAAATTGAGATCAGTGGATTCAACTCATGCTAGACAAATTTAGAATTCACCAGCACCAGTTGTAATACAAGATATTAACTCTGTAATGCCAACGAGCTCACTTAGAATTTAGCTGGCCCCAATAGGTGTTCAGTAGTCACAGCCTATAACGAGGACTTCGGTAACATTGGAGGAGGAAACCACCATGCCTGTGCAACCCATTCAGGAGCATTCACAGGTTCAGAGTGTCTGCATCAAACTGAAAATGTAATCTACCAAAGACAGAGAGTTATTGCAGTCAATTCTCATTCTTGCACAGCCTCATGAAGAATGTAGTTCTTGACTTAAAAGCTTCAGTGAATCTATATTCATGTAGGGGATAATGGCCGACTTTTGGTTTTGGAAATTTTGTAGTAATGGTCATTGAATATCTGAATTCACTGAAGCCTTTTTTAGAGACTTCCATGTAAGGTACTTTTTTTTTTTACACTCTTTGATGCTTTTTATACTGAACTTTTATCTTTGTTTCTTACAAATGTCACTGCTTTTCAAAGTGGAATCAACTTATTAAATTATCAACTATTTGTTGTTCTTTGGCAGCTATGTAATTACCTTCTGAATTAGAAAATGCTCCAATCCCTCATATTCTTTCTTGTTTTATATGTATATTTTAAATTTTTTTATGTAGACAATTCTATCTCTTTTGAATTTTAACAAGATTATTTTTAACAATCCTTTTGCCTTAAAACTATAGGTATTTTCATTTGTCAACCATTATTTTCAGTATAATGCTGAATAAAATTAGCAATTACTGATATTACTGTATTCTACCCAAGTTTACAGGGAAACTTCTATCATTTCACAATGAAGAATGGGGCCTAGTACAATTTATTGTACATAACTTCATTTACATTTTAATTTTAGTTTCCTCTAATTTATTTTTTATAATAAAAAGATTTTGAAATTCAGAAAATGGCTCTATTTTACATCAATTAAAATAACATTTTTTCTTTAATTAAGGATTTAATAGAGTTTATTTATACAATTTACCAAAAATTAGGTACTCCATCTTTACCAGAATAAACGCAGCTTCGTTGAGATTTTTTTTTAATACTACTGGAGTGAGGTTACAATTGTTTTATTTAAGATATTTGAATTACTGCTCATGATTTCTATTAACCTGATGATGTTTTTCTTTCCTGAACTGCTCAAATTCCATTTTTGTATCAAAGTCATATTGGCCTCCTAGAATGAGTGGAGAAATGTGACCTCTGATTCCGCTCTTGTAAAAATTTGTGTACAATTGGAATATGCATTTTCTTGCAAGTTTGGTTAGAATTGCCGGTAATTCATCACATGGCCTGAGGAGTTACTTGCGGGAACAGATTTAGCCAATGATTCAATATTTGTAATAGCTATAGAATTCCATATCCATGCTATTGCTTTTTGACAAGGACTTGGAGCATTGTACTTTTAAAATTATTTATCCATTCGTTGTAGTTTTAAATTTTATTGGCATAGATTTAGCAACATACTCTTATTCTATTTTTAGATTGTTCTTGTGGACAATTGTAGTCACTGTTTCTCAGTTTTATGTTCTCTCTCTCTCTCTCCTTCTCTCTCTCACACACACACACATACAGACACGCACACACACACAGACACAATATTACTGTGGAACTGTAATTTTATAAAAATCTTCCTTTGGCTAAATTGGTAATTTTCATGTGTCTCATTTTTCTACTTTATTGATTTATGATCCCTGATTTAATATCACAATACTTCTGCACACATTGAGTCTACTTAGTGGTTCTTATACTTTATATAATAAATAATTCTCAGAATTTCTTAATTTTTCTAATATAATAATTTTAATTGTACATTATAACATATTTGAATGTTGTTGTATTCCATATGTGTGTCAATAGGTATTATTGTCATTGTTATTGTTATAAAAGGTTTTACATTTTTACTAGGATTTCTATTTTGATCTGTGAATAATTTAGAAAAATGTTATTTATAAATGGAGTTTTATTAAACTTTTAAAACTTATTTCTAAAAATGTGTTATAATTATATATATTTTTAATTTTAATTTTGACTCCCCTTATGGGAATATATAATCAATATTTTAAATATTTCCTGTGTTATGGAAAAGATGAATACTCTCTAATATTTGATACTAGATTTCTGAGTTTGTCCATTACATCTATTTAATAATTAAAATTTTCTCTATTTTCAATGGTATTTGGGTATATACTCAACCTACAATAAATGATATTAATTTTAAAATCCTTAAGGATTCACATATTCAACCAAGATGGATTAATGACAGGGACTAGAACTAACCCTTCTGCCAGAAACAACGTAAACATAGTAAAAATATACAAACAATAGTAAAAATATACAAACAATAAATAGCAAGACACCCAGACATGAGATAAAAATAGATAGTGACTCCTGGCATTTAGGAATCAAATCCTCTGAACAACCAGCTAACTGTTTTGAGAGTTTCCAAGCAGGGAGAGAAATCAAGGCAGAGCCAGGAAGTCTGCCTAAACTGAGGAGATGGGGGCTGAGAATCTAAGGAGAAAAAAATGGTTCTAGAATATGCAGGACAGAATACTGAAGAAGGACAGGCTGCTAGAGAGAGAGAGAGAGAGAGGTAATTGAAGATGGTCCATTTGAAGCATTCTGCTGAGCACAGGTAAGTGCGTATGTGTGAGGAAGCTACCTACTAATGGAACTAGGGGAAGTACTACAGAAAAGGAAAAGATAAGACTTCCAGCTCTTAAAACAAGCCAGGAATAATGCCTTTTCACACAAGCTGCAGTGGCTTCATAATTTTGGGGGTAGGGTACACAGAGTGGGTTGTTTTAGTAATGGTAAGTGTGGTAATGGTAGATATTACTCAGTATTCATTTCTGTTTAGTGATGGTACACTGAGCACTATTCCAGTCTCATCTAACATATCTTAAAAACATGATTCCAGATAATCAAAATTTTCTCAAGTTATCTGAATATACCCTAGAATAGTGGATAAAGTATTTATAAGAATTTTAAAACATCAAATGCCTAGCAAGGTAAAATTCAAAATGCTGAGCATTTAATAAAATTTTACCAGACATGCAAAGATATAAGAAAATAATGAGAAAAAATTCAACCAAATTTTTCCTCTCTAAGGTTGAAATTCATAAGCTTTACTTATAATCCTTAAGTGGATTTATTTTAAATTTTATCATCCACATTTAAAAATTTTTTAATCTTTATCTCAACAATCCAGGGACCATAAAACACATTTAAACTTATCAGTACTATCCTTAATAGCACACGTAGTAATGGCCTCTGATTTTGGCCTCATGATTAATGAGGTTGAGGTCCGGGACCAGTCTCCATTCCCCATAGGGTTTTTGTACCCCTGGTATCAGAGTATTACAAGGGCTGTTGCAGGGTTTGAAGAGGCCCTGTATCCTTAAGTTATCAATGATGGCTCCTAGTCCTTTCCTAACTTCTGGTTTGGGGAGATATTGTCTCTGGTTAGGAAAGGAGGTAGGATCCTTAAGGTGGATCACAACTGGTATGGCAGTTGTGGCTTGGCCAATTTTCCCCTGAGTTGCCCAGACTTCTGGGTTAATATCGGTCTCCATGAAGGGGAGACAAAGAATCTGTCCTGTAGCCATAAAGATGATGGTTCCCATATGAGCCAAGATATTCCTGCCTAGCCGAAGAGTAGGGCTTTCAGGCATGTTTAAAAAGTCAGGATTAAACAAGAGGTCTCCCCAAATACAACTAAGGGTTTGGGAAAACTAAGGATTTGGGGAAAATATCAGGGTAAATGTTTTCCTGAGATGCCCCTCACAGTCATGCTAAGAGAGGAGGGGGTTCTGTATTGGAAAGGAGAACTGAAAAGCCTGCTCTTGCATCCAGGAGGAAGTCTACCTTCCTCCCTTGAACTTCCAGAATCACTCAGGGCTCCTGAATGGTAATGGCAGTCTGGACCACTGGAGCTGCGAGGAGGAGCTCTGGCACCCATCAGTCCTGCTGGACAATTTGGAGACTAGTTCTGGACCCAGTGACCGGTGTCTCTGTGGACAATTTGCCCTCCATGGGTCCCCACTGCAAATTGGACAGGGTTGAGGTGGTTTTCTCCTGCTATCTGGACAGTCCTTCCTAATGTGCCCTGGCTTGCCACATTTGTAGTAGTTAGCAGTTGCATCTTGAGAACTGTGTGGTTCTGTGAGCCTGAAAGGCAGCTATTAGGGCCTCTGCCTTTTTTCTTTACGTTCTTTCCGTTTTTTGGACTTCTTCCTGGTCCCTATTGTAAAAGACCAAGGTGGCCACTTTCAGGAAGTTCTGTAAAGTACTATCCGGTCCTATATCCTATTTCTGTAGCTTCCTCTTGATGTCAGGGGCTGCCTGTGTGATAAACGTATCCTTTTGGATTAGTTGTCCCTTGACTGAATCAGGAAATAGAAAGGTATGTTTTATCAAGGTCCCTCTTAGCCTTTCCAGGAAAGCAATGGGGTTCTCATAATCCTACTCTATCATGGATAGCTTGGAGTAATAGAGAGGCTTAAGTCCTAGTTTTTCATAAGACCTCCAGCATGCACACCTGAAAGTGTTTCCTCCTCCATTCTGCCATTTCATCATTGGGGTCCCATTTAGGATTCTCCCATGGTACTGCTAATTCTTCCAATTGGGAAGGTGTCATCCCCTTCCCTGGCCCTATATGAGATACAAAGCTCATCCCCAAAAATTATCTGCCACTTTCAGGATGCCTTGCTTTTCAGCAGTAGTCAGGGTTGATTTAAAAGTAATATGACATCTTGCCAGAAGAGTTAAAATATTTGGGTTAAGTTCTGGAAAGCTCTATATACCTGTCAGGGTTATCTGAAAACTTGCCAAGTTCTCCCTCAATTTGCTTTAAGTCCTGTAGAGAAAAGGGGACATGGACTTTAATGTGGCCATATTCACCCTTAATGGAACTTTAATGGGGAAGGAATGAGACTGGGACCTGACTAAAATGAGGATTTCTAGGATGGGACAAGCTTGGAGGAGAGCCTGGACAGGGAGGAGCAGAGGGAGTTGATTCCCCCACTGGAGGTACCTATGAGGTTTGCTTCCCAAGTTCCCTGGGACTGCCCCTTGCAGCCTCTCCTAAGATGGCTGCTAAGAGAGCTGAATCAATCCTACAATATCAGCAAAGGTGTGGGTTACCCCACTAGGCAAGGAAAGCTTGCACATTTGCCCTCATGTTTACAGAAAAGATCCAGCTGCAGGATGGCATTGAAATTAATTCTTCCTTCCTGAGGCCAAGCTTCTCCTCCCTGTAGAACATAATTCAGCCACACCTTTGTGCAAAGGAATGTGAGGCACTTTTTCTCCAGATTCTGAGAGCCAAAGTAGTCCCAGTGATTTAGGATGCACTTCAGAGGAGTGTAGGCTTAAGATCGTTGGTGATCCATCTGGAAGAGAGGACAGAGGAAAGAAAGGAGCCTTTTTCCCTCTCTCTCTAGTATCTGAGGGTCAAAGGGGTCCCAGTGATTTAGGATGCACTTAAGAGAAGTGCAGGCTGAAAATGGTTGGATACCCATCTGAAAAAAGGGGAAAGAGGTGTCCCTTTATTCCTCTCTCTTCCCAGCAAATACCCAGAGTATGTGACGGAGAGAAGAAAAGGTGTCCCTTTCTTCCTCTCACTTTCCAGTGAATACCCAGGATATGTGATGGAAGAAGAAAACGTATCTCTCTTCTTCTGACCTCATATCCCTGAGTCCTGGTGACCTGTGCAAGTGCCAACCATGGGTGCAGATGCAACTGTCATTTATGAAGCAGGAGGAATAGCTTGCAGGAATATTCACACTCACCTGAGAAGATCCCAGGCTTTTCACTGTCAGTAATCTTTGAGTTCCCTAGACCTTATCTATGCCATGGATGTGAGCATGACCTCCATCCATGAAGTGGGAGGGCCAAATCAGCAGGAGTTAGTCATGCTCACCTGCGCTGTGCCCCTAGACCTCCACTGTCTTGCCTCTGGACCCCTCAGATTTAGTTTTTTAGTTTTTTTTTTTTTTTCCCTGAGGCCTCAAACCAAAGCTTCAGAAAAAAAGGTGCCTCAGGAGAGTGCATAGACCCATTCTATTAGTCCCAGGTGGCTGTTGGAAGATTGCATCCAGCAACTGACAGGACAGCCTCTCCGTTGCTTTCCTATCATAAGCAAGTGAAGCTGTGAGACCAGGTTCTTCTCAACCAAGTGAGAGAAAGAGAGTCCTGGAAATTGGGAACCTGGCTTAACATGATGCCTCCCAAAACAACAACTTAAGTGCAAGGGAGGGGAAAGTGCCTGAGGAAAATACCTCTTGCCCTTTGCATGTGGGTTCTTTCAACAGGGGGAAAGAAAACGCTCAACTGTTGTATCCTCCTTGCTTGTAAGAATAGACACCATACCGTTCTCATTTACACTCCTACTCCTGATAATTAAGTCAAATGCTCATTATACCTAGTAATGTCTGTGGTTTGCAACAACATCTTTAACATTTAACATTGTATATAAAGAAATAAGAACCATGAGAGTTGCAAAAGAAGAGAAGAAAGAAAGAAATAACAAAAGAAAGAATGAAAGAAAGAAAGGAAGGGAGAAAGAAAGAAAGAAAGAAAATAAAAGGAAATAAAAGAAAAGAAGGAGAGGAAGGAAGGAAGGAAAGAGAGAAAGACTGGAGGTTCTACTGGAGGTTCTAGTGATAACACTCTAATGGGTGGTCAGGGACTGGAGTTAATCCAGGGTATTAGCCTTTCAATAACACCAATGTGTAGGCTGGGCCAGATACCCTCAGTTGCCCCAGGACCTCCTTTCAGTCTCATGCAATTGCTAGACCTCTGTGAAGGGAAACTGGGTTGGAACAAAGCCAACATTCCCAGTGCTTGAATGTGATGAATGATTGACATTGCCCTCTCCAGCAAGCCTATCCTCTGTGTCTTAAGTCTGGCAACCACACTAGTCACTTTTAACTGGTTGACAAAGGCCCAGTATTTTTCCTTCATCTTGACTATTATGGAGTTTAGAGACTCTGAAAAAAAAGGACAGAGAGCAGATTCACTTTCATTCACCCTTCCGCAGATCCTGAATGAGCCCCCAAAATGTTATGGGATCTTTGGGGTATCAGTTTTCTTTCCCCGAAACGTCTGTTTCAGGTGGTGCTGAGTTCTTGTCCTGCATCCAGGAAGAATGAGGTACGCAGATCAGTGAAGGGTAAAGAACATGAAGAGGAGCTCTATTTTAGTGTCAGAACAGCTCAGAAGGAGACCCACAGTGGGTAGCTCTCCTCTGTGGGCAGGCAATTTGTCCATTGAGTGTTCAGCTCTCAGGAGAGGAGTCCCTGGAGAGGGTAACTCCTTTATGCTCGCTGGTCATCTCAAGGTCTACTGCTCTCAGCAGAGAGGAGGCCCTGGAGTGGTTAGCTCCTCTCTGCAGAGGACATTCGGCCATCTCTGCAGGACTCTAAAGGTCTTGGTGGTCTCTGCAGATCTCTGCCAGTCTCTGAAGCTCTTAGCAGAAAGGGTAGCTCCTCTCTGATGCTGGTTGTCTCATTATCTGCTCCACTCTGGCTGAGCATAAAAATCTCCAGGCTTTTTATGGGCCTCAGAGGAGAGAAAGTACATGCTGATTGGCCCATGGGTGGCCTGGAAAAGGCAGCAGTTCCAACTCTGGTTGGTGGAACTGTCAGCCTAGCCCCCAGCCTTCAGGCCCTCCCTGGCTTGAAGGGGGGACCTTACCCACCCCCTTCCACTTGGGTCTCTGCCTCCCACTGTTTATAGCTCCTGGGCTAGGCTCAACTTTAGTCCAAGATCAGGGCCAGTGCTGACAGCAGGGAGAAGCCAGGCAGTGGTGGCAGGCAATTCTGAGCCTTATCAAAAGATCAACAAATACAGAAGTAGCTTTTTGCAATAATAAAATAGACCACCAACTAGACTAATAAAGAATAAAGGAGACAATATTTAAATAAACACTATCAGAAATGACAAAGGGGATGTTACCATTGACCTGACAGAAATACAAATGACCATCAGATAATATTATAAACACATATATACACTTCAACTAGAAAACCTAGAAGAAATGTATAAATTCCTGTACACATACATCCTCCCAAGACTGAACCAGAAACAAGCTCCAAAATTGAATTAGTAATAAATGACCTACCAACCAAAAAAAAAAAAAGCCCAGGAACAGATGGATTCACAGCTGAATTCTACCGGATGTACTAAGAAGAGTTGGTACCATTTCTACTGAAGCTACTCCAAAATATTAAGTAGGAGGGACTCTTCCCTAACTCATTCTATGAGGCCAGCATCATCCTGATACAAAAACCTGGCAGAGACTCAGCCAAAAGAAAACTTCAGGCCAATATACTTGATAGAAATCAATGCAAAAATTCCCAACAAAATACTGGTAAACCAAATTCAGCAGAACATTAATAAGCTCATCCACCACAATCAAATAGCCTTTTTCCCTGAGATCCAAATTTGGCTCAGTGTACACAAATCAATAAATGAATTTCATTACATAAACGGAATTGAAGGGAAAAAAACATGATTATTTCAATAGATGCAGAAAAAGCTTTTGGTAAAATTCAATATTCCTACATGGTAAAAACTCTCAATAAAATAGGTATTGAAGGAGCATACCACAAAATAATAAGAGCCATCTATGACAAACCCACAGCAACATCATACTGTATGGGCAAAAGGTAGAGTTATTTCCCTTAAAAACCAGAATAAGACAAAGATACTCTCTCTTACCTCTCCTATTCACTGAAAGTCCTGGCCAGAGCAATCAGGCAAGAGAAGGAAATAAAGGTACTCAAATAAGAAGAGAGGAAGTAAAACTAATTCTGTTAGCAGATGACATGATTCTATATCTAGAATACTTCACAATCTCAGTCCAAAAGCTCCTTAAGCTGATAAGCAACTTGAGCAAAGTCTCAGGATACGAAACTGACATACAAAAATCACTCACTTTCCTATACAACAACTATCAAGCTGAGAGCCAAATTAGGAATGCAATCCCATTCACAATTGCCGCAAAAAGCATAAAATACCCAGCAATACAGCTAACCAAGGAGGTGAAAGGTCTCTACAATGAGAACCACAAACCACTGCTGAAAGAAATCAGAGGGGATACAAACAAATGAAAAAACATTCCATGCTCATAGATAGAACAAATCAATATGATTAAAGTGGCCATATTGCCAAAAGCAATTTATAGATTCAATGTTATTACTATTAAAATACCACTGACATTTCCTCAGAACTAGAAAAATAATTAAATCATATGGAACCAAAAAAAATGCCAAATAGCCAAGACAATCCTAAGCAAAAAGAACAAAGCTGGAGGCCTCATGCTACCTGGTCTTAAACTATACTACAAGACTACAGTAACCAAAACAACATGGTACTGGTACAAAAACAGACACATAGATCAAGGGAACAAAATAGAGAACCCAGAAATAAGGCCATATACCTACAACCATCAGATCTTCAAAAAAAAATGACAAAAGCAAATGATGAGGAAAGGACTCCCTATTTAATAAATGGTGCTGAGATAACTGGTTAGCCATATGCAGAAGGTTGAAACTGAATCCTTTCCTTTTACCATATACAAGAATCATTTCAAGATGGATTAAAAACTTAAATGTAAAACTCAAAACTATGAAAGCCCTGGAAGACAGCCTAGGCAATATTGTTTTTGATAGGAATGGGCAAAGATTTCATGAGAAAGAAGACAAAAGCAATTGCAACAAAAGCAAAAATTGACAAATGGGATATAATTAAACTAAAGAGCTCCTGCACAGCAAAACAAACTATCAATGGAATAAACAAACAACCTATGGAATGGAAGAAAATGTTTGCAAACTATGCATCTGATAAAGGTCTAATATCCAGCATCTATAAGGAACTTAAATTTACAAAAAAAAAAAAAACCATTAACAAGTTGGCAAGGGACATGAATAGACACTTCACAAAAGAAGACATACATGCAGCAGACAAGCATATGAAAAAAGCTCAGTTTCACTGATCATTAGAGAAATGCAAATCAAAACCGCAATGAGATATCATCTCACACTAGTTTGAATGGCTATTATTAAAAAGTCACAAAGTAACAGGTGCTGGCGAGGTTGCAGAGACAAAAAAAGGAATACCTATACAATGTTGGTGGGAGTGTAAATTAGTTCAAACATTGTGGAAAGCAGTGCGGTGATTCCTCAAAGACCTAAAAACAGAACTATCATTTGACCCAGCAATCCTACTACTGGGTATACACCCAAAGAAATATTAAATGTTTTAATATAAAGACACATGCGTGTGTATGTTCATTGCCATACTGTTCACAATATCAAATACATGGAATCAATCTAAATGCCCACCAATGGTAGACTGGATAAAGAAAATGTAGTACTGTACACCATGAAATATTATGTAACCATAAAAGAGAATGAGACTATGTTTTTTGCAGGAACATGGATGGAGCTGGAGGCCATCATCCTTAGCAAACTAAGGCAGGAACAGAAAACCAAATGCCGCATGTTCTAACTTACAAGTGAGAGCTAAATGATGAGAACGCATGCACACGTAGAGGGGAACAACAGACACTGGGGCCTACCAGAATGTGAAGGGTGGGAGGAGGGAGACCAGGAAAAGTAACTAATGGGCACTAGGTTTCATACACTGGTGATGAAATCTGTACAACTAACCTCCATGACACAAGTTAACCTATATAACAAACCTGCACACGTATCTGTGAACTTAAAAGTAAAAAAAAAGAGAAAGAGAGAGTTTAACTGGCATCAACATTTAAACATTTATTAGTAACATGAGACTATGTAAGTCAACATGAAGAAGAATATAAAGTGAGGAGAAAGCCGAACTAAACAGAAACCAACACATATATAAAAGATAAGCCAGTGAAGATAAGTCCACAAATGAGATTTATCCACCAAACACATACAAAAGCACAAGGAGAATTTCCTACTCAAAGATGAAACTTTCTCAGATGTTAGGTGCACACAGGATTTTGGAGTGTATTTGTGGATGAAATCCAGAGCACAGATGCATATGGGAAAGGATTCAGTGGATTTAATAGCCTATTCATAAAACCCCAGAAATAATTTTGGCTGAAAAATTGTAGTTAGTGAAATTTCCACATCCTTACAGTTAGAAGACGGAGACTAAAAATGCGATAGAAGACGTCAGAGATAACGAAGTTAAATCCATCAGCCAGTAGACAAATGTGAGTTCCAGAAAGAGAGATCAGAAAAAAAATTAAGGAGAGGATAACTAAAAAATAAATATAAAAGCGAATTTTCTACCCAGGGAAGGCACGATTTTCTTCAAATGTGCAGCAGTCTCTAAGGATAAGCATGATTAGTGTAAGAACACCCATATGAAGTTACAGCCAGGGGAAAATTCAAAAATTGGAAGTTGTAAAGAAACTGACTTGAAAAGAAATGTGAAAAGAAATGTGACCAAGGCTTGGCATAAAACCTTTCAACGGAAAATACGGTTTCTAGAAATCATGAGAAAAGTGTCCATAGTGCTTAGTGAAAATGATTTGGGAGCTGGAGCTCTGTATTCAGTTAAGTAATCAATGCATTAAAGGGAAAAATAAAGACATTTTTTCTTATATTAATGGGCTCAGACAGTTTATATATACCACTCCTTTTACCTCAACATAACTGACATAACCACCAAAATTGGGGAGGATATAAGATTATAGAAACACTGCATTTACTTTTTCAAATGCAGTGATGGGAAGTGCCTAGATGACTACTAGGAAGTATGTTTAATTCTACTGGCCTGGACTGGAGAAAGGAGACAGAGGCTTAGAGTGAGTGGGGGGAAAGAAACTGAATGTTCTCAGGAAGACTGTGCTTTACTTTTGTCCTGAGGATATAGGAAGGCATAGTATATTAGAACAAAAAAGACAACTAGAGAATCTTTATAACAAATATAAAAGTGGGGTCCCAAGGTGAAGTAAAATAAAATACAGAACATTTCCAGCCAAAGATGCAATTGGTTCAATCCTGATTCTTTAAGCCTTTTGCTATATGGAATTGACAATTAGAAATTAAAATAAAATTCTAGCAGCGAATTAATTTTCTGGAATTAATATTAGTTGCATAGTTATAGTAAATGAAAGTTCTTTAAATAGTTTCTAATTTTAAAACAACTTTTTAAAATTTAAAACAAAATTTTACTTCAGAATACAATGCAAACATTTTATACCTTGAAAGAAGAGGTAAGGAAGATGAAGAAAAGGGTGGGTTTGTGATACAAGACTAATTTTTGCAGTAAGGTATAAAAAGATCGGTCTGAAGTAAAACAAGAAGTAAAATTTGAGAATATAATGCAAATAAATTCATATAACAAGAAATTCTATCTCAGTTCTCAATTTTTTCCTTTTATGTGATGAACACTCAGGTGAAATTATTTAATAAGACTACAACTTTTTTATAAGCAAGAGACAACATACTATACCGTAAAAGAGTTAAATGATCAAATATATATACAAACAAAATAATGAAGTGACTATAATATCTACAAATATGAATATTTAAGTAAAGGTGCATTTCTGGTGAGTGGATGAGCATTGATAGTGAGGTAGGATTTGACTTAAACGCTTTTGCTTTTTTAAAAAGTGAATGGCAACTGTTACCTAGAAGAGCCAGTCTACAGAAAACAAAAAAGAGAGTTTAGTTAAATATATGAATATCCTAAAAGGTGAAAAAGAGGAGAACTTATATAGGAAGTAGCAATAGTGGAGTTTTATGGAAGATGTAGCATTTCAAGTGTGTCTCAGGAGACAGAGCTTGAGAAGTACTGGAAGGGTTTCTTAGATAGCAGAAGAGACACCTGTATGTTGGTAGTTGTGAAAGAGACAGTAAACACTGACAAGCAAGTTTCTGTGGACTTTAATCCCCTGTGACTGATTTGCTCGAGTTAACAACAATATTACAGAAAAAAAAAAACATGAAACACGAACCAGAATCAAGTCATGGAAATATGTCTTTAAGCCTAAAACATTGACAGATTTTTCCCTACATGAGAAAATGTACATATAGATGTCATAAGCCTTTCTTTGTCCTTCCCACAACAGCTCAGCCAAATTTGGAACATAATTTCCATTCTTCTAGTTAAAAATACATGAAAAAGGATTTTTATTATTTATGTAGTGTTTGCTACATGCTAGCAACTCTTTTAATTACTCTCGGATGGCAAATCAATTGAAAAATACACTCATTCAATATGCATAATTGTTTTATTCACCTCTTCAATTTTCCTTTTATTGGAAGAAGATGCCTGATTAAATTAATGTACTTGTGTTTCTCAGAAAAATTAAGTTGGGGTGCATGTTTTTGGCCAGATGCAAATGTAGTTAAATATAATTGTTTATGGATATAAATTACTAATACATTTATTACAGATAGTAATATTACAAAAAGTAATCTTAGATGTCAATATAAAATTTTCAGAAAAAATTATGTTATACTCTACAGCATGTATAGATACGTGTGTGGGTATGTGCATGTATGGATTCAAATATTATATATATAAACGTTTTAAAGTTACCTTACATTTAGAGATGTGTAATATTAGAAATCATAAGAAAAATAATTCAAAGTGAACGCTAGCTCTACTCCTGTCAGAAAATAAAAATATATTGAATGTTTATGTTGGTCAAAAATAATTAATGTACTGTGTAGTAATGTAATAGAAAAAGGTTATGAAGACAATGTTACTACAATGCACTATTTTTGTGAATTTTTTCAGATTTAAATTTTAATATTAAATAACAGAAGTGTGTCTATTTCTACTAAAGATAAGAAAACATAATATGAAATGATACATTAATTTTAATATGACATTGCATCTCTTCCTTTGGAATGAAATGAATATATCACATTAAATAAATGCCTTTTTCATATGGGAAATTACTGTGACTAAATTAATACTTGTGCAATAAGATACTTCATTAGAAAACAATCGGGCACTCCAAATTAATTAAGTAGGGAATACAGAAATCAGTGTTTTATCAAAATTGTCTTTTGAGTATGTGACATTCCTAAACTTATGAAAATGAAATCGCATTATTCAATGGTTTTGGAAGTAGATGAATAAATAGCATTTGGGCATGTATTACTTCAACCTCTAAATTTTACATTTCTTTGATATGACTTTTTCTGCACTTTATTACAGAAACACATTTACACAGCAGTATGAACTTCTCATAAAAGCAACACTTTGTTTTGGTTGAATGCAAATAAAAACATATTCTGTCCCACTATTAGACATAACAGAACACATTTAATATGTGGGATTGGTGATATTTTGAATATGGTAAATTTATGTTTTAGCCAAATTTAGAGAAATGGTCTTTAGAATAGGCTGTTTGCTAATTTGAACAGAATGCGTGAGAATATTATAGCAAAGTATATAAGGCATATATTCCAAACATTTACTAGGTAATATGCCCCCAGAAAGCAACTATAATTATTTTTTATTAGGGAGATATTCTGTACTCCCTAAATATACAAAGTATACTCATACCGTCATTTGAAATATGTTTCCAATATAAATAATGTGTGTATGTCTCTTAAACATTTAAATAGTTAGCAATGTTAGTTTTTCCCTTGTTCTTTTAAATGTGTTTGCAGGTATTAACCTTCTCTTACCTTTAGAGGGTTTTTTAGGTGTTTCTTAGGTAGAATATTATATGAAAATTTAACTTACATTACTTAACTTTACAGCAAATATAAGAATGTATTAGGCTTTTTAATTTAAATATAGTCAAGTAGCCCATAAAACATTTATATCTGTTGGGGGACAAAGGAATGTCTTTTGTAAACAAAATTCACTACATTATAAGCTTTCATTTGATTTTATTAGTCAGTACTGGATATCAAAAAGATTTAGAAAATTTACATTAACCTAATGTTTTTAACATAAAGGAAAGTGGGAAGAATGCCATCCTTGGTATTAGCATTAGTTCTGCTTCTTGTGTAGAGAACATGTCTTTTACTAACCTTTCCTGAATATCAGTGGCACTCACTCTCCTATTAATTGCATTCTGTAAAAGCTATTTTTGAGATAAATCTTAGGACATGCAATGCGTGTTTGTCTCCGGGCCCTCTCAAGCATTTCAGTGGCTGTAAGAAAACAGCTCTCTGAATATCTCTGATGAAGCTGGGTCTTTTGTGAGATGTCATACCTGGATGCCAAATGTTTTTTTTTTTTTTTTTTTTTTTTCATTTTTACATTTTTTTTTTTTTTATTATACTCTAAGTTTTAGGGTACATGTGCACATTGTGCAGGTTAGTTACATATGTATACATGTGCCATGCTGGTGCGCTGCACCCACTAATGTGTCATCTAGCATTAGGTATATCTCCCAATGCTATCCCTCCTCCCTCCCCCGACCCCACCACAGTCCCCAGAGTGTGATATTCCCCTTCCTGTGTCCATGTGATCTCATTGTTCAATTCCCACCTATGAGTGAGAATATGCAGTGTTTGGTTTTTTGTTCTTGCGATAGTTTACTGAGAATGATGGTTTCCAATTTCATCCATGTCCCTACAAAGGATATGAACTCATCATTTTTTATGGCTGCATAGTATTCCATGGTGTATATGTGCCACATTTTCTTAATCCAGTCTATCATTGTTGGACATCTGGGTTGGTTCCAAGTCTTTGCTATTGTGAATAGTGCCGCAATAAACATACGTGTGCATGTGTCTTTATAGCAGCATGATTTATACTCATTTGGGTATATACCCAGTAATGGGATGGCTGGGTCAAATGGTATTTCTAGTTCTAGATCCCTGAGGAATCGCCACACTGACTTCCACAATGGTTGAACTAGTTTACAGTCCCACCAACAGTGTAAAAGTGTTCCTATTTCTCCGCATCCTCTCCAGCACCTGTTGTTTCCTGACTTTTTAATGATTGCCATTCTAACTGGTGTGAGATGATATCTCATAGTGGTTTTGATTTGCATTTCTCTGATGGCCAGTGATGATGAGCATTTCTTCATGTGTTTTTTGGCTGCATAAATGTCTTCTTTTGAGAAGTGTCTGTTCATGTCCTTCGCCCACTTTTTGATGGGGTTGTTTGTTTTTTTCTTGTAAATTTGTTTGAGTTCATTGTAGATTCTGGATATTAGCCCTTTGTCAGATGAGTAGGTTGCGAAAATTTTCTCCCATGTTGTAGGTTGCCTGTTCACTCTGATGGTAGTTTCTTTTGCTGTGCAGAAGCTCTTTAGTTTAATTAGATCCCAGCAACTTCAGCAAAGTCTCAGGATACAAAATCAATGTACAAAAATCACAAGCATTCTTATACACCAACAACAGACAAACAGAGAGCCAAATCATGGGTGAACTCCCATTCAAAATTGCTTCAAAGAGAATAAAATACCTAGGAATCCAACTTACAAGGGATGTGAAGGACCTCATCAAGGAGAACTACAAACCACTGCTCAAGGAAATAAAAGAGGACACAAACAAATGGAAGAACATTCCATGCTCATGGGTAGGAAGAATCAATATCGTGAAAATGGCCATACTGCCCAAGGTAATTTACAGATTCAATGCCATCCCCATCAAGCTACCAATGACTTTCTTCACAGAATTGGAAAAAACTACTTTAAAGTTCATATGGAACCAAAAAAGAGCCCGCATCGCCAAGTCAATCCTAAGCCAAAAGAACAAAGCTGGAGGCATCACACTACCTGACTTCAAACTATACTACAAGGCTACGGTAACCAAAACAGCATGGTACTGGTACCAAAACAGAGATATAGATCAATGGAACAGAACAGAGCCCTCAGAAATAATGCCGCATATCTACAACTATCTGATCTTTGACAAACCTGAGAAAAACAAGCAATGGGGAAAGGATTCCCTATTTAATAAATGGTGCTGGGAAAACTGGCTAGCCATATGTAGAAAGCTGAAACTGGATCCCTTCCTTACACCTTATACAAAAATCAATTCAAGATGGATTAAAGATTTAAACGTTAAACCTAAAACCATAAAAACCCTAGAAGAAAACCTAGGCATTACCATTCAGGACATAGGCGTGGGCAAGGACTTCATGTCCAAAACACCAAAAGCAATGGCAACAAAAGACAAAATTGACAAATGGGATCTAATTAAACTAAAGATGCCAAATGTTTATTGCCTCTTCTCCTTGCCTATCACCCTGATCTGTTCCTGAGGCCAGGTTGAGGAGAACTCACCAGGTACTGCAGGTGAATTTCCTCAGGCATCTTGGTTTTAGCATTAAAAACAATTTCACATTTATTTTTGTGCATATTTAAAACTGTTTTAGATTCACTGTTAGAAATGTAAATGTCTCTCTCCCATCAATAATTTTAAATGGTTTTTTATGGCATGTAAGAACACTTTTTGTAGAATTACAGTTCCAGCTTCATTAGTTGAGTATATGAGGGAATATGCTTCATCCCTATAATAAAACTATGGAAATAATATAAATTATATACAGTGTGTAAGTTATGTGCAACACTGATATTATTATATTAATATATTATTAATTAAAATAAGATTTCTCTTGATTAAATAAAAGGTATCCCTGAAAGTGGGGTACAAAGAGCAGAGAGCTCTTTTTAAAATGAGGCACCTGAACATCACCACACAATTAAATTTGCTAAAAATATACTCGGGAATATTATACAGCTTAAGATATGGCAGGCAGAATATTTCCACAGAAGGTACATATCTCACCATAACTGTTAAATAGATGAGATAGATCATAAAGATCACAATAAGACAACAAACCAAGGACTGATACCCAAATAAATAGGTTTATATTCAATTATGAAAAAGAATTTACATTAGTAGTGGCATACTTTGTTTTATTGTACTTCACTTCATTGTACTTTGCAGATGTTGCATTTTTGTTTTTTGCTAATTGATGGTGTGTGGCAAGCCTACTTCCAGCAAGTCTATTGGAGCCACTGTTTCAACAATATGTGCTCACTTAATGTCTCTGTGTCACATTTTTTTCAAACTTTGTCATTATTACCATATCTGTTATGATGATTTGTTATTGATCTTTGATGCTACTTTTGTAATTGTTTGGGGGTGCCACAAACCTTGCCTAAACAGGATAGTAAATTTAATCTATAAATTTTGTGGGTGTTCTTTTTTTTTTTTTTTTTTGAGAGGATCTCACCCTGTCTCCAAGGCTGGAATGTGGTGGCACGATCACTGCTGACTGAAGCATCGGCCTCCTGGGCCCAAGCAATTCTCCCACCTCAGCCTCCTGGGTAGCTGGGACTACAGGCACGTGCCACCATGGCCAGCTAATTTTTAATAATTTTGTAGAGACAGGGTCTTCTTATGTTGTCCAGGATGGTCTCAAACTTCAGGGCTCACAAAATCCTCCTGCCTCCGCCTGCCAAAGTGCTGGGATTACAGGCGTGAGCCACTGTGCCCGGCCTTGTGTTTGCTCTGACTGTTCCACCAACAGGCTGTTCCTGGTTTCTTTCCCTCTCCTCAGGCCTATTTCCTGAGACACAACCATACTGAAAGTAGGCCAGTTAGTAACCCCATAATGGCCTCTAAGTGTAAGTGAAAGGAAGATTCACATCTCATACTTTAAATCAAAACCTGCAAATGATTTAACTTAATGAAGGGGCAAGTTGAAAGCTGAGAGAGGTCACAAACTAAGCCTCTTGGGTCAGTTAGCCAAGTTGTGAATGAAAAGGAAAAGTTCTTGAAAGAAATGAAAAGTGTTTCTCCAGTGAACATGTAACCGAATATCCCAGCCTCAAAATGCATTTTGCATCTTTTTTTTTTTCCTGCTTTCAGCTTTGAAACACACTTTGAAAGTCTTTGTTTCTCCCTTTCTCACCAGGCACTTCCACGAACAGTGCTCGCTTATCTAATTACTTGTTTTCTTAGAAATGCCAGGGGCCAGTGATGGAACAAACCAGGCAGAGAGACCCAGCTGAGGAATCTTCTGGCTTAGGGTGAGTTATGAACAGTACCCTACCATTGCTGGGTTGAATTCAGGATGACACAAACCCCACCTCTGGACAAGCGATTACTCAAGATATCCATGGGAATAAGACACACAGACCTGCACCCTCCTGCACCACCTTTGCATATTTCCCACGTTTTCCTTAAACCCGTTCACTGAGTTCAAAAAGTCGAGATGGTTTCTTTAAGGCTTGAGCCAGTCCATCCTCCCGTCTTTAGCATTTGAACAATAAAGCTGCTTTGGTTTCACCACACCTAGCTTCTCATGTTTTCAGCCTCTGAGGAGCGAGCAGCCAGACTTGAGCCAGTTACAAATTCATGAATGATAAAAAAGAAACAGCCTTGTTGCTGATATAAGAAAGTTTGAGTAGTCTGGATAGAAGATCAAACTAGCCACAACATTTCCTTACACTGAATCCTAATTCATTGTGAGGCCCTAACTCTCCAATTCTATGAAGGCTGAGAGAGGTTAGGAAGCTACTGAAGAAAAGTCTGAAGCTAGTGGAGGTTGCTTCATGAGGTTTAAGAAAAGAAGTCATGTCCACAGCATAAAAGTGCAAGATGAAGCAGCAAGTACTGATGGAGAAACCACAGCAATTGTCCAGAAAATCTCGCTAAGACAATTGATGAAGATGGCTACATTAAATAGCAGATTTTTGTTGTAGACTGAAGAGCCTTTTATTGGAAGAAGGTGATATCCAAGACTCTCATAGACAGAGAAGTCAGTGCCTGGCTTCAAAGCTTCAAATGACAGCCTTGCTCTCTTGTTAAAGCTAATGCCGCTGGCGACTTTTAAGTTGAAGCCAATGCTCATTTACCATTCTGAAAATTCTAGAGACCTTAAGAATTATGCAAAACCTACCCTGTCTGTGCTCTATAAGCACAGAGCTTAGATGACCACATATCTGTTTCCAGTAAGGTTTACTGAATATCTTAAGTTCATTCTTGAGAACTACGACTTAGAAAGAAAGATTCCTTTTCAAAATATTACTGCTCACAGACAAAGCACCTGTCATCCAAAAGCTCGGACAGAGGTGTACAAGGAGACTAATGTGGTTTTCATGCCTGCTAACATAATATCCATTCTGCAGCCCATAGATAAAGGAGTAATTTCTTTTTAGAAAATGTTTATTTATTTATTTTTTATAGAGACAGATTGTTGCTATGTTCATAAGGGGTCTCAAACTCCTGGGCTAAAGCAATCCACCTGCTTCAGCCTCCCAAAGTACTAGGATTGTAAGTGTGAGCCACTGCACCTGGCCTCAATATTTGTTTTATTGTGGTGGTTTATAACCTAACCCGTGATTTCTCCAAGTTATACCTGTATATCAGTATTCTCTCGGCAATAAAAGAGGAAATACCAGTGAAACCAGACTAAGAATTAATGAAAATTAAATCACAAGAAATAAGAAATGCCAATGTAGAGATGTTTATATTGAAAGTCAATTTATATTATTTAAATAAAGGGAAACAAAAATAGTCAGAAAATCATGCTAGGACTATGATGTAGTTATTTATCAAAGATAACTCATGGATATTTTGATGCAGCTAAATCTATAGGTATAAAATATGAGGCCCAAGTCTGAAGATTCGTTTTCTAACTATAATATCGTTACTCTATTAACTAATGAAGTCTGCAATGTGAGAGTCACTAGTTAATAAAATAAAAAAACATGAATTCGCTGTGCTTCCTTCTATACTCAGATGCTCTGCTCTTATTAGTTAGAAGAAATATGACTAACCATCTGAAACTAACAGCTATGCAAGTAAATTTATTCCAATATCATTACGACTTTTGTTTTTTATCTTTTTTTTCTTCTTTTTTTTGAGACGGAGTCTCACTCTGTCTCCAGACTAAAGTGCAGTGGCGTGATCTCAGCTCACTGCAACCTCTGCCTCCCAGGTTCAAGCGATTCTTCTGCCTCAGCCTCCCGAGTAGCTGGGACTACAGGTGGGCACCACCACGCCCAGCAAATTTTGTATTTTTAGTAGAGGCAGGATTTCACCCTATTAGCCAGGCTGGTCTTGAACTCTTGACCTCGTGATCTGCCCGCCTCGGCCTCCCAAAGTGCTGGGATTACAGGTGTGAACCACCACGCCTGGCCTGTTTTTTTTTTTTTCATCATTTTAAATATAAGTCATAAGCATTACTTACAGCTTTTCTTTTTGTTTTAATTACTTTGGTACTTTAAAATCCACCTATATGGTATGCCAACCACAGCAACTTATTGAGAAATACCAACCAGTGGAATTTTTTAAAAAGTTGAAGATATTTGATAGAAAAAAAAAGAATTGAGAATGTGTGTGTTGTGTTTGCTTGTTTTCAGCACTTTTAGTATTACTATATCTATGTAGTCAATTTCTAATGTCTAGTTACTCGTTCGTGGCAAATTTATTCTAGCAATTTTTATGTTTTGGTCTCCCGAAAATATCTTACTGTGATTTCATTTCCAGATGTGGATTTGTCTGCACATAAAATTCTAGTATTGTAGATCAATTCCCTCTCATCTCTTCTGATAGTTTAAACATGCTACTCAATTTTCTCACTACTTTTTGTTGTTATTTTATTGTTAATGAGATGTGTCATTACGGTCTAAAATTTATTTCAAAGTATACTATTATTCTCTTTAGTACATATGCAATTTTCTCACTATTCTTAATGTTTGGCAGTTTAATGAAAATGTAATTTTATTTATATGCATATATTTCTTTAGTTGTATTGCCCAAGCCTCCATGATCTCATTTTCTTAGAAGAGTTATGACTTCATTTCTAAAGAATTCTCAGTCATCATCATTTTGAATATTGTTTCTCTGCCATGCTATTTTATTATCCAGGATAACCCATGACATTTTTATTGACATCTTTCAATGTTGCCTCTTTATCTTAATTTATTTATCTTTTATGATTTCCTATTCTTTATCTCACTGTGTTGCCTTCAACTGAAGGAGAGGAGAATCCTTAATACTAAATCCAAATTTGTGAATTACCTTTTGGATTATGATTAATGCAGAGTTTACTCCACTTGTAAGAGTTATTTTTAGAGTCTCATTTGTAAAGGGTCTCACTCAGCCATGTAACAGGACACATTGATAAATGGTGTGCATCATATCAGTCCATGCTGACTGACAGCCCTTACTGTACTTAAGAAAAGTATAATTGTATTACTCACTTTTTACATTTTTCTGAATTATGATTTTATGTTTCTATGATATGATTGCTCCTAAATATTACCATAGTAGAATTGGTCTGAATGCATAGAATTTATTCATTCCCTACCAAACGTTTTAGTTACCCTAAAATTATATTGTATTTCTATTTACAGCACCATTACATGTCTCCATAGCGAATAAATTTGTTACTATATGTGGATTAAAATATTCTCATTGCGTCTAAAATTAAAAAAACTATAAATCCATATTAGAGTCAGTGAAAATTCAGTGAAATTTTAATTTCATACACATGGAATATGCCTCTTCAATAAAAAATACTAATAAAAATATATTCATAACTATATATGCCAATATATAAATATATATTCAAGTATTATGAAGGTGCATCTACTGTCTATATTAATTATAATAACAGTAATAATATCTAACATATACTGATATATTGAGTGGTAAGAGTTTAAGCACTCCATGAGAATTTAGTTTATTTCAAATCTTTTCAACATGGACAATATGAACCCAAGAGGCAGAAATTAGTTCTGGGGCAGGAATAAAGAAAAAAGTGTTAGCTATAACAATAGTTTGTGACCCTCCATAGGACCACAGATGATAAACAGATATATAGTGTGCATGAGGCATAAAATTTAATGCTGAGGGATTGGGAAAAATGCCTAGAGAAGCTCCTTGGTAGGACAATAAAGGATAGAAAAGGTTGAGAAAAACTGGCTTATTTATCTTCACAAAGAACCTGTGTTATAGGTAATATTATTAAACTGATGTATATCAGACAGAGATATACCGAGACTTTTGCTCAAAGTTATAAATATGGTCAATGGCAAAACAAAAATATAAACACAATTCTGGATTTGAGTCAATTTCTACAGAACTCTTAATCATTAGTTATACTATCTCTCCATATACAAAAGAATTACTCAATTTATTTAAAGTTTATTTGTTCAATAAGCTATTTTTTGCTAAAATAGATAATAAGTGTATCTCATGTAAAAATCTCCATTATTAAAAATTAGTTACAAAAGGAACATCCTACTAAGATTATAAACTAATTTAGAGACATGGATATTTAACAAGTAGCAACAAGACATACATTTTGTTTACTATATTCTACTGTGTGTAAAAATACTGTTTAGTATTTATTTCCTGACAATATATAGAATTAACAGTGACCCCAGATTGCAGAATAATAACTTTGAGTGTAAATTTCATATTTCCTTGAAAATATAAGCCTCGTATTTCATATTTAACTGCCTCCACTCCCACATATGATACTTTTTATACTGAGAAATCAGTGTGGGCTTAAGCTAATATTTATATGTTATAAGTTAAAAATAGTCACTGTTGTCTCTCATTCACAATTTATGACTGGATCCTTTTCTTTCAGAAAATAGTACTTTTTAGTTCACATTTTCATATAGACAAGAACAAGAGCTCATTAGTCTTTCAGTTGCAAAATAGAAAATAAATTTTGTTAAATAAAGCAAAATTAAGCATCAAGTTGATATAATAATCTCTTCTATCTTCATAAATAAATGATCTACAATAAAGACCAATTTGTTTTTTAAAGTCAGATAACACATTTTACTTAATTAGAATAATATAAAAATAATGCACAGTAGGTCTGAAGAAAGGAAAGTAAAAAATATTTTTTATATTTAAGCACTTTAAATATCCTGAGGGCCTATCAAACTGTCTAAAAACAAATAGAGAAAAGCCAGCAAATATTAGAAAAATAGTTTGAAGACCAAATGTTCAAGATCTAACATGAAGGTCATAACAGGTTGTCGTAGCATAATTTTCTTATGTGATTTGCAATAATTAGGGCCATTTCTAGTTAATGTCATTCATTTTTCTAAAACTGTAAAGCATCAGTTGGGTCTCTTCATTTTTTTAATGGAGGCTATACAGCAAACCTAGCCATATCATCAGCTGCCAAGACTAATAGATGAAACTTAGAGATTCAGAACACTTAACCGAAAGCAATTAAAGATGCCTCAGAAAGATAATGAGAACTCAAAAAATAATCTGCATTTTACATTTAACTACATGATTTGTGCTAAATTTGGGAAGTTCATAAATAATTTTGTGCTAGTGTCTGTTTCTATAAATAGAAAATCTAGTCGATATCTGACACACAAGCTTTAACCAGCACAAGCATTAACATACTGAGTAACCATGGAAATAATATCACTTCTGTTATAAAATTATCTTGTGAAAATACAAAAGAGATTCAGAGCCTCAAAATAAATGGCCATAGTTACATTTATTATTTCTTAGTTTTAGAAATGATTCTAAAATACATAAACTGTATAATCCTTTTGCATCACCTCTTATTGAAATTGGTTGATTTGACTATTAGAACACCTATAGGCCTCATCCTGTATGTAAATGTTAAATACTATGTTAAACATCCAAGCACGACAAATGTCTCATAAACATAAATAAACATATATCCCTCTCCTAAATGTCTCATATGTACTACTCTTATTAGTATGGCTAGCAACAAACACAGACCATGAGCAGTAAGGATCTGGAGGGAAGGGAGACATTGAAATGAACATTGCATTTGCTTCTGCTATTTTCTGATAACTTACAGGGTACAACCATCATCTGGATCTAGTTGTGCTGAGCAGGCTAACATTGGAGTCCCAGGCTACTATAATCTTGGAGAAAAAGAAACAGTGAAAAGTAGCTCAATATTTTGTACACAATAAAGCCTGGGGCTTCTGTTACATGCCTTGAATTTTTGAGCGACAGAGAAAGACAGGGGAATGAAGAGGAAGCAACTATTTAAGAAGCTGAAAAGTTAAGCAGAGTATTTGACACTTTCATAGGAATGCTGCAAAACCAAAAAGCTTGAATTCAGGGGCCAAGAAAGAGAAAACTTAGTAAGTATGCCAGGCATTCAGTTAAGTCTCTAAAAGGGTTATAGTTTGTGGTTAGAGAAATCCTTGCAATAGACTAGTTTCATCTGAATTAAGGTGATATGCCTGTAATCCATCTTCTCATGAAGAGACAGTTGAATCCTTTCAGGATGAAAGCACCAACATTCAGAGCCACTAGCATTTGCATACTCCAAGCCTAACACTTAAGAGAAGTTTAGGGGGTGGAGCCAAGATAGCCAAATAGCAACAGCTCCAGTCTACAGCTCCCAGCGTCAGCGAAGCAGAAGACAGGTGATTTCTGCATTTCCAACTGAGGTACTGGGTTCATCTCACTGGGGAGTGCCGGACAGTGGGTGCAGTGTACCGTGCATGAGCCAAAGCAGGGAGAGGCATCGTCTCACCCGGGAAGTGCAAGGGGTCAGGGAATTCCCTTTCCTAGTCAAAGAAAGGGGTGACAGACAGCGCCTGGAAAATCGGGTCACTCCCACCCTGATACTGCACTTTTCCAACAGGCTTAACAAACGGCACACCAGGAGATTATATCCCGCACCTGGCTCAGAGGGTCCTACGTCCATGGAGCCTGGCTCATTGCCAGCACAGGAGTCTGAGATCAAACTGCAAGGCAGCAGTGAGGGTGGGGGAGGGGTGCCCGCCATTGCTGAGGCTTGAGTAGGTAAACAAAGTGGCTGGGAAGCTCAAACTGGGTGGAGCCCACCACAGCTCAAGGAGGCCTGCCTGCGTCTGTAGGCTCCACCTCTGGGGGCAGGGCACAGACAAACAAAAGGCAGCAGTAACCTCTGCAGACTTAAATGTCCCTATCTGACAGCATTGAAGAGAGTAGTGGTTCTCCCAGCACACAGCTTGAGATCTGAGAATCGGCAGACTGCCTCCTCAAGGGGATCCCTGACCCCTGAGTAGCCTAACTGGGAGGCACCCCCCAGTAGGGGCGGACTGACACCTCACACAGCCGGGTACTCCTCTGAGACAAAACTTCCAGAGGAACGATCAGGCAGCAGCATTTACGGTTCACCAATATCCGCTGTTCTGCAGCCACCACTGCTGATACCCAGGCAAACAGTGTCTGGAGTGGACCTCCAGCAAACTCCAACAGACCTGCAGCTGAGGGTCCTGACTGTTAGAAGGAAAACTAACAAACAGCAAGGACATCCACACCAAAAACCCATCTGTATGTCACCATCATCAAAGACCAAAGGTAGATAAAACCACAAAGATGGGGAAAAAACAGAGCAGAAAAATCAGAAACTCTAAAAATCAGAGTGCCTCTCCTCCTCCAAAGGAATGCAGCTCCTCACAATGGAACAAAGCTGGATGGAGAATGACTTTGATGAGTTGAGAGAAGGAGGCTTCAAAAGATCAAACTACTCTGAGCTAAAGGAGGAAGTTCGAACCCATGGCAAAGAAGTTAAAAACCTTGAAAAATAATTAGACAAATAGCTAACTAGAATAACCAATGCAGAGAAGTCCTTAAAGGACCTGATGGAGCTGAAAAAGACAGCACGAGAACTACATGACAAATGCACAAGCCTCAATAGCCGATGCGATCAACTGGAAGAAAGGGTATCAGCAATGGAAGACAAAATGAATGAAATGAAGAGAGAAGAGACGTTTAGAGAAAAAAGAATAAAAAGAAATTAACAAAGCCTCCAAGAAATATGGGACTATGTGAAAGGACCAAATCTATGTCTGATTGGTGTACCTGAAAGTGATGGGGAGAATGGAACCAAGTTGGAAAACAATCTGCAGGATATCATCCAGGAGAACTTCCCCAATCTAGCAAGGCAGGCCAACATTCAACTTCAGGAAATAGAGAGAACGCCACAAAGATACTCCTCAAGAAGAGCAACTCCAAGACACATAATTGTCAGATTCACCAAAGTTGAAATGAAGGAAAAAATGTTAAGGGCAGCCAGAGAGAAAGGTCGGGTTACCCACAAAGGGAAGCCCATCAGACTAACAGCTGATCTCTTGGCAGAAACTCTACAAGCCAGAAGAGAGTGGGGGCCAATAGTCAACATTCTTAAAGGGAAGAATTTTCAACCCAGAATTTCATACCCAGTCAAACTAAGCTTCATAAGTGAAGGAGAAATAAAATACTTTACAGACAAGCAAATGCTGAGAGATTTTGTCACCACCAGGCCTGCCCTAAAAGAGCTCCTGAAGGAAGCACTAAACATGGAAAGGAACAACCAGTACCAGCCACTGCAAAAACATGCCAAATTGTAAAGACCATCAAGGCTAGGAAAAAACTGCATCAACTAACCAGCAAAATAACCAGCTAACATCATAATGACAGGATCAAATTCACACATAACAATATAAACCTTAAATGTAAATGGACTAAATGCTCCAATTAAAAGACACAGACTGGCAAGTTGGATAAAGAGTCAAGACCCATCAGTGTGCTGTACTCAGGAAACCCATCTCACATGCAGACACACATAGGCTCAAAATAAAGGGATGGAGGAAGATCTACCAAGCAAATGGAAAACAAAAAAAGGCAGGGATTGCAATCCTAGTCTCTGATAAAACAGATTTTAAACCAACAAACATTAAAAGAGACAAAGAAGGCCATTACATAATGGTAAAGGGATCAATTCAACAAGAAGAGCTAACTATCCTAAATATATATGCACCCAATACAGGAGCACCCAGATTCATAAAGCAAGTCCTTAGTGACCTACAAAGAGACTTAGACTCCCACACAATAATAATGGGAGACTTTAATACCCCACTGTCAACATTGGACAGATCAACAAGACAGAAAGTTAATAAGGATATCCAGGAATTGAACTCAGCTCTGCACCAAGCGGACCTAATAGACATCTACAGAACTCTCCACCCCAAATCAACAGAATATACATTCTTTTCAGCACCACACCACACCTATTCCAAAATTGACCACATAGTTGGAAGTAAAGCACTCTTCATCAAATGTAAAAGAACAGAAATTATAACAAACTGTCTCTCAGATCACAGTGCAATCAAACTAGAACTCAGGATTAAGAAACTCACTCAAAACCGCTCTACTACATGGAAACTGAACAACCTGCTCCTGAATGACTACTGGGTACATAATGAAATGAAGGCAGAAATAAAGATGTTCTTTGAATCCAATGAGAACAAAGACACAACATACCAGAATCTCTGGGACACATTCAAAGCAGTGTGTAGAGGGAAATTTATAGCACTAAATGCCCACAAGAGAATGCAGGAAAGATCTAAAATTGGCACCCTAACATCACAATTAAAAGAACTAGAGAAGCAAGAGCAGACACATTCAAAAGCTAGCAGAAGGCAAGAAATAACTAAGATCAGAGCAGAACTGAAGGAAAGAGAGACACAAAAACCCTTCAAAAAATCAATGAAGCCAGGAGCTGGTTTTTTGAAAAGATCAAAAAAATTGAAATTGATAGACCACTAGCAAGACTAATAAAGAAGAAAAGAGAGAAGAATCAAATAGACGCAATAAAAAATAACAAAGGGGATATCACCACTGATCCCACAGAAATACAAACTACCATCAGAGAATACTATAAACACCTCTACGCAAATAAACTAGAAAATCTAGAAGAAATGGATAAATTCCTCGACACATATGCCCTCCCAAGACTAAACCAGGAAGAAGTTGAATCTCTGAATAGACCAATAACAGGCTCTGAAATTGAGGCAATAATTAACAGCTTGCCAACCAAAAAAAGTCCAGGACCAGATGGATTCACAGCTGAATTCTACCAGAGGTACAAGGAGGAGCTGGTACCATTCCTTCTGAAACTATTGCAATCAATAGAAAAAGAGGGAATCCTCCCTAACTCATTTTATGAGGCCAGCATCATCCTGATACCAAAGCCTGGCAGAAACACAACAAAAAAAAGAGAATTTTAGACCAATATCCTTGATGAACATTGATGCAAAAATCCTCAATAAAATACTGGCAAACCGAATCCAGCAGCACATCAAAAAGCTTATCCACCATGATCAAGTGGGCTTCATCCCTGGGATGCAAGGCTGGTTCAACATACACAAATCAATAAATGTAATCCAGCATATAAACAGAACCAAAGACAAAAACCACATGATTATCTCAATAGATGCAGAAAAGGCCTTTGACAAAATTCAACAACCCTTCATGCTAAAAACTCTCAATAAAATAGGTACTGATGGGATGTATGTCAATATAATAAGAGCTATCTATGACAAACCCACAGCCAATATCATACTGAATGGACAAAAACTGGAAGCATTCCCTTTGAAAACTGGCACAAGACAGGGATGCCCTCTTTCACCACTCCTATTCAACATAGTGTTGGAAGTTCTGACCAGGGCAATTAGGCAGGAGAAGGAAATAAAGGGCATTCAATTAGGAAAAGAGGAAGTCAAATTGTCCCTGTTTGCAGAGACATGATTGTATATCTAGAAAACCCCATCGTCTCAGCCCAAAATCTCCTTAAGCTGATAAGCAACTTCAGCAAAGTCTCAGGATACAAAATCAATGTGCAAAAATCACAAGCATTCTTATACACCATTAACAGACAAACAGAGAGCCAAATCACAAGTGAACTCCCATTCACAATTGCTTCAAAGAGAATAAAATACCTAGGAATCCAACTTACAAGGGATGTGAAGGACCTCTTCAAGGAGAGCTACAAACCACTGCTCAAGGAAATAAAAGAGGATACAAACAAATGGAAGAACATTCCACACTCATGGGTAGGAAGAATCAATATTGTGAAAATGGCCATACTACCCAAAGTAATTCATAGATGCAATGCCATCCCCATCAAGCTACCAATGGCTTTCTTCACAGAATTGGAAAATACTACTTTAAATTTCATATGGAACCAAAAAAGAGCCCGCATTGCCAAGTCAATCCTAAGCCAAAAGAACAAAGCTGAAGGCATCATGCTACCTGACTTCAAACTATACTACAAGGCTACGGTAACCAAAACAGCATGGTACTGGTACCAAAACAGAGCTATACACCAATGGAACAGAACAGAGCACTGAGAAATAATGCCACATATCTACAACTATCTGGTCTTTGACAAACCTGACAAAAAGAAGAAATGGGGAAAGGATTCCCTATTTAATAAATGGTGCTGGGAAAACTGGCTAGCCATATGTAGAAAGCTGAAACTGGATCCCTTCCTTACACCTTATACAAAAATTAATTCAAGATGGATTAAAGACTTAAATGTTAGACCTAAAACCATAAAAACCCTAGAAGAAAACCTAGGCAATACCATTCAGGACATAGGCATGGGCAAGGACTTCATGTCTAAAACACCAAAAGCAATGGCAACAAAAGCCAAAAGGGATCTAATTAAACTAAAGAGCTTCTGCACAGCAAAAGAAACTACCATCAGAGTGAACAGGCAACCTACAGAATGGGAGAAAATTTTTGCAAGCTACTCATCTGACAAAGGGCTAATATCCAGAATCTACAATGAACTCAAACAAATTTACAAGAAAAAAAAAAACAACCCCATCAACAAGTGGGCGACGGATATGAACAGACACTTCTCAAAAGAAGATATTTATGCAGCCAACAGACACATGAAAAAATGCTCATCATCACTGGCCATCAGAGAAATGCAAATCAAAACCACAATGAGATACCATCTCACACCAGTTAGAATGGCGATCATTAAAAAGTCAGGAAATGACAGGTGCTGGAGAGGATGTGGAGAAACAGGAACACTTTTACACTGTTGGTGGGACTGTAAACTAGTTCAACCATTGTGGAAGTCAGTGTGGTGATTCCTCAGGGATCTAGAACTAGAAATACCATTTGACCCAGCCATCCCATTACTGGGTATATACCCAAAGGATTATAAATCATGCTGCTATAAAGACACATGCACACATATGTTTATTGCGGCACTATTCACAATAGCAAAAACTTGGAACCAACCCAAATGTCCAACAATGATAGACTGGATTAAGAAAATGTGGCACATATACACCATGGAATACTATGCAGCCATGAAAAATGATGAGTTCATGTCCTTTGTAGGGACATGGATGAAGCTGGATACCATCATTCTCAGCAAACTAATGCAAGGACAAAAAACCAAACACCACATGTTCTTACTCATAGGTGGGAATTGAACAATAAGAACACATGGACACAGGAAGGGGAACATCACACACCGGGGACTCTGGTGGGGTGGGGGAAGGGGGGAGGGATAGCATTAGGAGACATACCTAATGCTAAATGATGTGTTAATGGGTGCAGCACACTAACATGGCACATGTATACATATGTAACTAACCTACATGTTGTGCACATGTACCCTAAAACTTAAAGTATAATAATAAGAAAATAAAAAAGAAAAATTATATTTATATGCTTTCTGTTAAAATTATATAATAAACAAAAGTATGAATGGTAAAATATTAAAGACATTAAGGGGGTAGTAATACTATTGATACCATCATAAATTTAGTTAATACTGTCTAATTTTATTCATTTTTTTTCTAATAATTTTTGTCTCAGACAATTAACAATTTACATTGAGGTTCTCATGATTTAGAGGATGTGTTTACACAAATCCTTAATAGATTGTGGTCTCTTAAATAAAAGACATTATGTATTATGCAGAATTTTATTCCCTTAATGCCCAGAATCATGCTTTGTTCAAAACAATCATTCAATAAATTGTATTTCTCGATTTATTAATGTGAATACCTATAACCATATACTCTTAATAAACAAGTATGTTTAGCAGCCATAAATCTGATACACAAAGTATCTGGAGTGCTTAGGAAAAACAAATGTCTTTTCTTAGATTCCTTTAGAAACAAACCATTTGCAACACTTAAAAAATATATTTTCCCCTCAAGCTAGTAACAGCATCTGCAGTAAGAAATCAGATTCTCTTATGGTATCCTGCACAACAACAATGGGAAGGGTGTAATAGTAGCCTTGGTGAAAAGAAATGTAATGAGCATTCCCCAGCAAGTGCTTTTCTCAGCAGGATGGTCACGTAATTATGAGAAAATATGACAAGCTTACAGTTATGGTACAGTTTATCTGGAACTTCCTGTTATTGACCATGTGTTCTAAACAACTATCTTTGTCAGGCAAAAGTGAATATTACAAACTAAATAAGAGGAGGGAAAAGACAGTAAAAATGAAGTGGGCATGCTGAGTCTGTATCTGCTTATAACTTTTCTCAAAATCAACTAACACTCTTTAATGTTTAATATTGAATCTCTCAATACTATAATAAAACAAAGATAAAATATATATATTATAGGAACACGACCTGCATGATGTCTGTTTTTGTTTTTTTACAAACACACACAAAATATCCTAATGCCATTGTATACAACTTTTGCTCTATAGTATTTTATCATAGTGAAATAATTTGTTCTGCAGGGCAGAATAATTAGGGACTATAATTTTCTCTTACCTTCAACATGTATTTATAAAGGTTTAGTGTAAAATTATTATCAATTGTTCTATGGCAGAGTTCTAAAAGCTATATGGGTTGGGGTCATGAATATTTTCAAGGATATATGGAGAGTCAGCCTGTTCCTGTTAAAAAGCATCACAAGCCTATGAACCCAGAGGCAAGAGAAAGCAACAAAGGATGTAATATCTTGTGTACGTTGGAAGGGAAGGGAGCTTCAGCTACATAAATGAAGGTAGGAGTTGGATCAAAAAGGGTGTTATGGTGCTCCTTAAGACACTTGAACTTCATGTCAATGACAATGGGAGCTATTAAACAAATTTACACAAGATGCTGGAATGCTTATATTTGTGTTATAGGAAGATTAGTCTGTCAATTTGAAACTGGGCCAATTGTTCCACAGAACTAGTGTGTACAGTTTGTTAAATGAAGGTAGAAATTGACCTTCCCAATCTTAAAACTTGAGCAACTTACATTTGTGTTATCCGAGTTCCTTTCTCTGGAAATCAATCATCAGGCCTCTCAGATAGTATCAAGGAAGTGAAACTTAACAGACCACTTCATCTATACAATGAGATGCCAGATCCCTCACCTGTTATGACTGCCTAACTGATCACCTGCTTCCTACGGACCAACTTCTCTTCCCTACTCCTCCCTAATTCCTGTTTTCTCACACAGAGTTACATTTCTTCTTTGCTATTACATGTAAACCCCAAATTTTAGTCAGTTGATGAGACAAATTTGAACCGAATCTGTTCTCTTTGACTGTGGCATCCAAATAAAGCCTTCTTCCCTGACCATCTTTCTGTCACATTGATTGACTTTCTGTGCTATGAGCAATGGGAACTAGTCCAAATTCCCAGTGTTTCAGCAACAAACTGTGTAACATTTATCAAGATAGGTAATTCTGTTTGAGGCGGAAAAGTTTTTGGCAAAAGAAACTTTTTATATTGAAACTTAGGATTATTAATATTTTACCTGAAATAACTAAATAGCTATTCAGATATAATGCTCAGAATTGATTATTTCAACATTAATTCATAATTTGGTTTGTAGATCGATGGCTATCTTTTCATATATATATAATATATGTATTTATTTATTTAAAGTTTATATATATATAAAATACAAATATCCAAGATTTACTTTGCAGATTTCCTTGTTTAAAATGTTGCTTTTGATTTTTTTTGTATATTATTTATTTATTTATTTTTGAGATGGAGTTTTGCTCTGTCACCCAGGCTGAGTGCAGTGGCACGATCTGGGCTCACTGCAAACTCTGCCTCCCAGGTTCAAGCGATTCTCTTACCTCAGCCTCCAGAATAGCTGGGATTACAGGCGCTCACCACCACACATGGCTAATTTGTGTATTTTTAGTAGAGACAGGGTTGCCAGGCCAGTCTCAAATGCCAGACCTCAGGTTTTCCACCACCTCAGCCTCTCAAAGTGCTGGGATTACATGCGTGAGCGACTGTGCCTGGATGCTTCTGATTTTAAAGAGAGTGAAAGAGGGAGTAAAAAGAGAAAAGTAAAAGTGACAGAGATGGGGAGAGAAGGGGGAGAGAAAGGGGAAATAGAGAGAAGAGAGGAAGAACAAGAAAGAGACAATAATGCATTAGATGTATCTTTTCTGATTTTATACACCATTTTCAATGAGTACCATATTTCTGGTAAATGTGAATTCCACAAAGGGGGCCCATCTAAAAGTTATAAACGGTATGTAATAAAATATACAGATTAAAAATCAAAAAAAAAGAGAATAGAATAGTAAGTTCACAAAACCTAGATATTGGAACAAAATGGATGAAAAACAAGAAGAATGTCATTAATGTGGAAATAATCATCGATTAAAAACTCATGGGAGATTGTAAGTTGGGAGGTCTGAATTATGTAGTGTGGTAGTGAGAACCTTGGAAGAGATGAATCATTCATTGAAGATGTAGCTATTAAGATGTAGGAGAAATTATGCCTGACGATTTTTCAATTGTTACTTCATCTTTCAAATATTGTAATCAGATATTGTGGATACACTCTAGGAACCCACTTCAACAGTTTCCTCCCCTTCAATGTAGGCATAATCTATAACTTGTTTTTAACTAATATATATAGAATCAATGTAAGAGCATATTTTAGAATATACATTTTATGAATATTTTATGTATAAATAAATTCTGCTTCTCTAGTTAAACCCTAATTGATAACATCAGCACAACTAGCAGGATCTATTTCTTACCCCTAGTTTTGCAAAAAGAAGAGAAATATTGAAAACAACACCTTTTTGTATGGGTATTGGTTCAATAGAACAAAACAAATCTTTAATTTTGTGCATGAATATTGTATCACAAATAGCTGTTTCCATGGCTCATGCCCTAAAGAAGATGTGTCACTTGTCAAGACCCATTCATGAACATATGCTCCAACACAGCCTTTAATTTTAAGAAACAGACCTTTGAGAAAACAAATAAGATAAATAAAAATAATAACATGTTCATAATTTATTAATTGCATATTATTTGAATCATTATTTCTCTGTAGTTGACCTAAGTCAACTTTAGGACAACTATAGGTTGGCCTAGGACAACTATAGAGAAGGTCAGTCTTATGTTTTGACTTTCAGAAAAGCATGTTTTCATTTCATTCAATTTTATTGATAATACATTTTAATTACTGATCATATTTGTTTTATTGCAAAGAAAATTGTCTTTACAATTGAATTATATCTCATTTTCCAGATAAGATTGTTTTTTCTATAAATTTATATTTTGCATTATAGATAGCAAATATAATTCTATTTCTATAAAATCAAATATTATAAAACATTTAATCCTAATTACCGTATGAGCTGCTAAAAATTATACATTAAAAAACTGTTACAATATCCTTTCTTTTGGAGACTCTTTTATGTTAATTTTTTCTTTTCTTTTTTCTTTTTTTTTTTTTTCATTTTGAGATAGGATCTCACTCTGTAGCCCAGGCTGGAGTGCAATGGTATGATCATAGCTCACTGCAGCCTAATCTCCTGGGATCAAGCGATCCTCCCACCTCAACCTTTCAAGTAGCTGGGACTACAGGTCTACATCACCATAGCTTGCTAATTTTGTGTGTTTTGAAGAGATAGAGTCTTGCCATGTTGCCCAGACTGGTCTCAAACTCCTGGGTTCAAGTGATCCACCTAACTCGGCTCCCAAAGTGCTGGGATTACAGGTGCAAGCCACCATGCCTGGCCTAATTTTTCAGTCTACATGTAACTATAATGATATTATCAAATAATTACTTTATTTGCATAATAATAATTGTGGAGGAAACAACAAGTAATACAAGGCATAAAAAAAGTCTAAGAAAGCATATTTTCATTAATTAGAATTACACTAATGTGGTAATGTAATGACTTGTGCTAACTTTCTTATTCTGTTATCATAATATTGCAACTTTTTTTCTTATCTGCATAATTTAAGCCCTTTTGTTAATTTTGATTTTGACTGTCATCTATTGGCTTTACTCTCTATAAGTCTAGAAATACACACACATGCACACACGGAAATTTTATTTATCAATACTCTAATAACATAGAGTGATGTTAAATCATGAAAAATAAATCTCATAATAAGTAAAATATGATTGTTTAAAACTGTTACTCAAATACCTAGCATCTCTATTTTTCTTCTTAAGATGTTACCTTAATATATGCTATTGTTAAAAGTAAATTGATTTATCATTCCCTTGAAGAAACACAGTGTTATAATACAGACATACTTGGAATATAAAATAGGTATTTTTTATTATCTAAAATAAATACATTGTAGAAAATTGTGCCAATTTTTTTTTACTGGTTTATATTTGTTGTTGTTCTTTAAAACAATGCGATTTCAAGCTCTGTTCAGGGATTACTTCTAGCAACAGTTTTAGCTGTGTTATTCTGACGGACTTCCTTGGAAGCCGAAACTCTGTTTCTTTCTAATTCCCTCATGTAGTCTATGGCACACAAGGTGAGTCCTATAATCTGCTATAAAGCAATATTGTAAAAATGATGTTTACCTGCATACACTTTTTATGGTCATTTGGATGTTTCGATTCTGCAGGAAACCCATTTCCCTTTTACCATGGGACCTTTTCTCATCATGGTTAAACAAAGTCTTGCTCACTAGCACAGATGAGATAAAAGGATTTGTTGGGCCTCTATCACATCAGGCAGGTGATGACAGATCCCAATCTATTTCAGGAACAAACTTCAGACTAGCCTTACCTTGCTAAATGGCTTAGCAGACATTATGTTTCCCACAACAGCAATCTCTAGCTTATTATTTAGCTCCATGACAGAAAAACAAGTAAAAGCTCACAGATTTTAAAATATGAACAGACACAAAGAAAAGGGAATTCACATAGTTCTCTTGAATCTTCAAAAAGTGTTTCAACAAGCATATTGAACTATATTCTTAAGTTGGCTTACTCAGCTATATCATACAAATAGATAGGGATAGATTAATGATAGGTAGATAGATATATACACAGATATATCTATGTATAAATAGATAGATGGTCGATAGATAGACAGATAGATGCAAAGTAATATATATCCATGCAGGCACAGTGTTATGAAGATGCATTTTTAAACTTTATAAAAATATTAATTCATCTACTCCACATATATCAAACACTGTTGCTGAAGCAACATTCCATAAAAAAGAGAATATGTTTTAAAATATAAATTGTCGTGGGATTAAATAAGTTCTTTGTGCTTTCAAGCTTCCAAGAGAACATAAAAGAGATTATTAGATTTCAGAATTCAGTAATCATCATCATCATAGTAAAACTTCCTTAGGCTCACAATGTGCAGGACACATTTCTCTGTTCTTTTTATGTATTCTGGCATTTACTCTGCTGCACAACTCTTCGAGGTAGAAGCAAAGGCCAGAGATGTTAATGAAGCTGCTAAAGGTCACAGAACAACACATATGTGATTTGTAAAAAAATATCATTTTATTTCCTTGTGAAAAAGAACATCATTCATGATTTACATCTTTGAAGCTCCCTGGCTGGATTGCTTAACATTTTGTTTTGTTTTGTTTTGGTTTGGTTTTGGTTTTTGAGACAGAGCCTCCCTCCGTTGCCCAGGCTGGAGTGCAGTGGGGCAATCTTGGCTCACTACAACCTCCACCTCTCAGGTTCAAGCGATTCTCCTGCCTCAGCCTCGTGAGTAGCTGGGACTACACTTGCACACCAACACTCCCGGCTAATTTTTGTATTTTTAGTAGAGATGGGGTTTCACCATGTTGGCCAGGCTAGTCTCGAACTCCTGACCTCAAGTGATCTGCCCGCCTCAGCCTCACAAAGTGCTGGGATTACAGGTGTGAGCCACCGGGCCCGGAATGTTTACCTTTTTAAAACGTTTTTTAGATAATAATTTTTATTTGTTTGTTCATTGCTGGACCTCCAGAAACTAGAAAAGTCCTCTGGCAAATAGCAAATGATCAGCAGGTATTTGCTATTTGAATGATTTATATATAAAGACAAATTACATTTTTTTCCTATTTACCAAAAAGCTTTATTTAGTGATTTTTAGGAATGTTTATTTATTTTTATTTCTGTTTTTCTAACTTTTATTTAAGGTTAAGTGGTACATGTGCAGGCTCGTTATACAGGTAAATTGCATATAACAGGAGTTTGCTGTACACATTATTTCATCACCCAGATAATAAGCATAGTATTGATAGGTAGTTTTTTTCAATCCTCTCCCTCTTCCTACTCTCCACCTTGAATTATGCTCTGGTGTCTTTTGTGCCCTTCTTTGTGTCCATGTGTTCTGAATGTTTGTTTATCACCCACTAAGTGAGAACATGTGGTATTTGGTTTTCTTTTCCTGCATTAGTTCACTTGCAATCATGGCCTCCAGCTCCATCCATGATGCTGCAAAAGACACAATCCCATTCTTTGTTATGGCTGTGTTGTATTCCACAGTGTATGTGTACATTTTCTTTATCCATTATACAATTAATGGGCATAGAAGTTGACTCTATGTCTTTTCTATTGTGAACAGTGATGTGAGTAACATATGGATGTATGTGACCTTATGATAGAACAATTTATATTCCTTTGGAAATAAACCTAGTAATGGGGTTGCTAGCTCTAATTAGTTTCCAAACTCTTATATTGCTGGTAGCAATATAAAATTTTTGTCTCAATTTCTGTCCATTAGATTCTTTTTCTTTTTTTTTTTTTTTGAGGCAGAGTCTCACTTTGTCACCCAGGCTGGAGTGCGGTGGCGCTATCTCAGCTCACTGCAAGCTCCGCCTCCTGGGTTCATGCCATTATTCTGCCTCAGCCTCCCAAGTAGCTGGGACTACAGGCACCCGCCACCACGCCCAGCTAATTTTTTTGTATTTTTCGTAGAGACGGGTTTTCACCGTGTTAGCCAGGATGGTCTCGATCTCCTGACCTTGTGACCCTGCCCGCCTCGGCCTCCCAAAGTGCTGGGATTACAGGCGTGAGCCACCGTGCCCGGCCTATTAGATTAATTCTAAGTGGTGATGTATAATCAAGTAAATTTGAGAAACACAGTTTAAGAACATTTAAATACATATCTTTATTACAGGAATTGTCTGAGCTCTTCAATTGCCAACACACATATATTGTTATTCACACAGGGTCATGCAATTTCCAAACACACTGGAGGTTTGGATTAAAACAAAACTTCCTTTGTTGTCTTAATGAAAAGAATTAACATCTTAATAAAACAATATGCATTAGTTTTGTAATTTTAGAAAATATTTTAATAAGTACTGGGAAAAAGATATAAAGCACTGTTAAGAGAATTGTCCTCTGTGCCTTAACTTTGCCAAAGCTACAGCCACAGATACTATGCAAAGCCAAGCAAGATATTCATTCAGTATCTAGATACCAGAAGGAATATGGGCCAATGTAAAGAACCAGTAGAAAAAAATGCATCAGTATAATGACAAAAAATAAATCCGAGGTTATTTTTTCCTAAAAAGCACATTAATATATTGTATCATGTCTCACTTTCAAAGATGGCAGGATAAATTGTACCATTCAGCCCTTGCATATATCTAAGTGATAGTGAAAAGAGGTAACCTGAACACAAGGCACATATTGTGACGATACGAAGGAAAATGATATATAATAATGAAAACGCATATTAAGAGTTATTTATTAAGGCATTCATCCATTCAATTATTTATCTAATAAATTTGGGTTATCTGTTATTGCCCAGACTTCTGCAATTTTATATATATATATATATATATATATATATGTAATTATTATATATAACATCTGCAATGATATATGTGAGAGATATATACATATCTATATATACATATCTATAGATATAGATATAGATATAGATATAAAATTAAACACCAGAAAGATTTGTTCACCATGGTTGGAGTGTAGTGGCACGATCACAACTAACTGCAGTCCCTGAACCTCCTGGGCTCAGTGATTCTCCGACAGCCTCCCAAGCAGCTGGGACTACAGGCGTGCGCCACAATGCCTGGTTAGTTTTTCGTATTTTTTGTAGAGATGGGTTTTACCATGTTGCCCAGACTGGTCTCATACTCCTGTGCTCGATTTACCTGCCTTGTCTCCCAAAGTTCTGGGACAACAGACCTGCACCAACATGCCTGGCTTTTTTTTTTTTTTTTTTTTGGTAGAATTGACATGTCACTATGTTGCCCAGGCTGACCTCGAACTCCTGGGCTCAAGTTATTCTTCCTCCTTGGCCCCTCAAAGTGTTGAGATAACAGGCAAGGAGACACTGCACTGGGCCAGGATTAATCTTACAATTAACAGTTTTTATTGATCACACTTCCACTCATAACTATCATTACCATTAGTGATAACTGAAATAGTGAATGCCTTTTACTTAGTACTTACTAAATTAAATCCTCTGGAAGGAAGTGCCTCATAAATGTTGAGGGTCATAAGGGTTGAGCATCACAAAGGCTGAGTACTCTGAAGTCAATCCCAGTACTGGATTCATACATGCATTTTATTAGCTGTACAGGCTTGGGCAAATTACTTCACTTCTCACCCCTGTCTTTTGTCATCTATTAAATGAGAATGACAAAATTCTTTCAAGAAATAAATAAGATAAAACATTTACATTTTTTTCTTTCTGTTTTTTTTTGTTTTTTTTTTTTTTTTTTTTTTTTTTTTTTAGATGGAGTTTCACTCTTGTTGCCCAGGCTGGAGTGCAATGGCACAGTCTCAGCTCACTGCAACCTCCGCCTCCCCGATTCAAGCGATTCTCCTGCCTCAACCTCCCAAGCAGCTGGGATTACAGGCGCCCACCACCATATCTGGCTAATGTTTGCATTTTTAGTAGAGACGGAGTTTTGCCATGTTGTTCAGGCTGGTCTCGAGCTCCTGACCTCAGGTGATGCTCCTGCCTCAGTCTCCCAAAGTGCTGGGATTATAGGTGCGAGCCACCTCACCTGGCCTAAACATTTACATTTTTGAAATTAATAACTGAAAAAAAAAACATGCAACAGATGTTAGGTATTATCTACATCAGTGGTCTTCACATTTTTGTTGATATACACTCCAAAAAAATTATTAAAATATTTCCTTTTTGTTAGTTTTTTAAATTGGCATCTAAATTTTTATCATATATGTGAATAGAGAAAAAAATTTAAACTTCTGGCATATTAGAAATGGTAGCATTACAAATTTTAAAAATGGAGACTAAGGGTATGTAATGTCAATGAAATGCCAAGCAATTTGATACTCTCCACTGTCATTAAAACAATAAACAAGCTCTTCTTTAACTTTCTTAAATATTTCCCATCACTTTATTCCCTTAATATAATATTTCAAGTTCACTAGCCTCAAAAAGTTTATTCCTAATGTATTATGTGTTTTGTGCTCAAGTAAACACCCACATAATTTATTGCAACAGTTAGAAAGGATTTTGAAGGGCTTCGTGGCACAACGATAGCACGTCCGACTCCAGAAAGGATTTTGAAACTATAAAAATATTTTTAAATATGAGTTATCACTATATTCCTTATAAGTGAAAGTAGCTCAAAACTACATATATTACAAATTTTATAAATATTATTCATAAAAAGTAAAGTTGTATTAGAAATAATAACAATGGAACTTTTTTGGTTAGTTTGTGAATAGTAAGATGGATATTACCTATCTCTAAATTTGAACATGGTTTAGCATTAATACTCTTCTTAGTTTGCATTTATCTAAGTGTAAGTACTGGCAAAACTTATTTATATAAGTGAATAGAAACAGAAGAAGTTTGAGTATAGCCATCTCATTCAATCTTTGAACTCCAAAGTTACATACCAAAAATGATATAGTAATTTATTATTAGAGTGTATGCCTCTTGACCTATTAATTAAAAACTCAAAATAAGGACGCATTCAATTGTGTTGATACAAACAATAAATGAAACCACCCAACTTTTATGAGATAATCTGTTACCCAATCATGAGTGTGTTTTTTTCTCTGTATCTACATAATAATTTTGATAGTTCTTTTAGTTTAATTCCACAGACCAGGTCAGCATATTGAGATGCGAGAAATTCTATGAGAGTAAAGTCAGGTAGAGGCTGCAATTTACAACAACTGAGTTTTGAAAGGAGAACCCACAGGAGCATCTCTGGCAGATAACTATTAGGAATGAGTATATGGAATTTGAAGTTGTAGAAATTTATTTAATAATACTTCCTATACTCAAAAACTTATTTAAAAGTTTTTCATGTATCAGAGGAGCAAATATGTCTCATTTTGAAGCTAGCAATCATTTTTTCATCCTCAGAACAGTTCTGTAACTAGATAATATTATGTCCATATTCATAGATAAAGAAACAATAACTTATGGATATTAGGTAATTTGCCAAGGCCATATAACTGAGAAGTGGTGAGTGGGGATCTCTGCCAAGGTAGTGTGTGACTTTAGGACTTACACTAATATTACCTCGTATGCTAGTACAAAATGTACCAGAGGCACTGTGTTAAGAGTCACAGTTAAAAGTCCACTTACAGAATTTTGAAAGAGATTGAATTTGTTAGGACGAAGGCCATTGTGAAAGATAATATGTATAACAAAATAAGTGAAATGCCTTATCTCATTGATATAATATCTAAATTACCTCACATTTTAACACTTCTAAAATCTTAATGCATTTTGCAATTCATGAAAAACACAGTCTAATTTTCAGGGGTTATTCTTTTTAATGATGCATAAGGCATACATTTTTTTCAATCGATGACATAAAGTCTAAAATAAATTTTTTTTCCACCATCTATTGAGATCATCATACGGCTTTTGTTTTTAATTATGTTTATGTGCTGAATCACATTTATCTATTAGTATATGTTTAACCAAACTTGCTTCCCAGGAATGAAACCTATTTGATCATAACAAATAAACATTTTGATGTGCTAGCAATATTAACATTTTGAATTCAGTTTACTAGTATTTGGTTGACGATTTCTGTGTCTGTGTTCATCAGAGATACTGGTTTGTAACTTATATTTTAATTGTATCTTTGCCAAGTTTGTGTATCAGGGTTACTTTGGTTTTACAGAATACAGGGAGAAACTATTTCAAAAAATTGAGGAGCAAAAACTCATCCCTAACATGGAGAAGTCTGTGCTTCTCAATGTATTTGGAATAGTTTCATTAGCATTGGTACCAGTTTTTCTTTGTATGTCTGGTAGAATCCAACTGGTCTGGATCCTTTTGTTGGTGGTGGTGGTGGTAGGTTTTTTTTTATTAATTCACCTTTGAAACTTATTATGGGTCTATTCAATGTTTCAATTTCTTCCTGATTCAATCTTGGGAGATTGTGTGTTTCCAGGAAATTATTCATTTCCTCTAGATTTTCTACTTTGTTTGCATAAAGGTGTCCATAATGGTCTCTGAAAATATTTTGCATTTCTGTGGGATTGGTTGTAATGTCACTTTTGTCATTTCTGATTGTGCTTATTTAGATCTTCACTCTTTTTTTTTTTACCTTGTTAATCTGGTTACTGATCTATTAATCTTATGTATCCTTTCAAAAACTAACTGTTTTTTCATTGATTGGATGAATTTTGGGGTCTCAATTTTATTCAGTTCCTTTCTGATTTTAGTATTTATTTTCTTCTGCTAGGTTTGTGCTTAGTTTGTATTTGTCTTTCTGATTCCTCTAGGTGTGATGTTAATTTGAGATCATGTAACTTTTCGAGGTAGGCATTTAGTGCTATAAACTTTCCTCTTAACATTGCTTTTGCTTCATCCGAGAGATTTTTGAAAATTGTGTAACTGTTTTCATCTATTTCAAAGAATTGTTTGTTTTCTGCCTTTCATTTCTTTATCCAAAAGTCTTTCAGTAATACGTTGTTTAATTTCCATGTAATTGTGTTGTTTTGAGAGATCTTCTTGGTGTTGATTTCTATTTTTATTCCACTATGGTCTGAAAGTGTGGTTGGTATAATTTCAATGTATTAGAATTTATTGAGACTTGCTTTATGATCAAGTCTGTGGTCAATCTTGGAGTATGTTCCATGTACACATGAGAAGAATGTATATTCTGTGGTTGGTGGATGGAGTATTCCATCGATGTCTCCTAGGTCCAATTTGTGAAGCGTTGAGTTTAAGTCCAGAATTTATTTGTTAGTTTTCTGTCTTGACGATCTGTCAATTGTTGTAAATGGGGTTTTGAAGCCTCCCACTCTAATTGTGTGGCTGTCTATGTCTTTTTGTAGGTCTAGAAGTACTTGTTTTATGAATCTGGGTACTCCAACATTGAGGGCATATATATTTAGGATAGTGATGTCCTCTTGTTGAATTGAATCCTTTATCATTATGAAATGATCTTCTTTATCCTTTTTTACTGTTGTTGGGTTAAAGTTTGTTTTATCTGATATAAAAATAGTGATATAAAAATAGTGACTCCTGCCCTTTTTTGTTTTTCTGTTTTCATGATAGATATTTCTTCAACCGTTTACTTTGAGCCGATGGGTGTTGTTATGTGTAAGCTGGATTTCTTAAGGATAGCAGATGGATGGGTCTTTTTTTTTTCTTTTTCTACACGCCACTGTGAACCTTTTGAGTGGGCATTTAGACCATTTACATTCAATGTAAATATTGATATGTGAAGTTTTGGTTCTATCATGGAGTTATTAGATGGTTTCTCTGTCGTTTCTATTGTGTGGTTGCTTCATAGAATCTCCAGACTATGTATTTAACTGTGTTTTGTGGTAGCAGGTATCATTCTTTTGTTTCCATGTTTAGAACTACCTTAAGGTGCTCTTGTAAGGCTGGTCTAGTGGTAACAAATTTTTTTAGTACTTACTTGTCTGGAAAATATTTTATTTTCCCCTTGATTATAAAGCCTAGTTTGGCTGGACATGAAATTCTTGGTTGGAATTTATTTTTTTTAATAATGCTGAAAATAGGCCCTGAATCTCACCTGGATTGTAAGGCTTCTATTGAGAAGTCTACTGTTAGCCTGAAGAGGTTCCCTTTGTGTGTAACCTGTTCTTTTTCTCTGGCCGACTTTAATTTTTTTTTTTTAAATAGTGTTGACCTTGGTCAGTCTGGCGACTATACTCCTTGGTGATGTTCATTTTTTATTGTATCTCACAAGTGTTCTTTGGATTTCTTGTATCTAGATGTCTACCTCTCTAGCAAGATTAGAGAAGCTTTTTGAATAATTCTCTCAAATATATTTTTCAGGTTTTTCACTTTTTCTTTTTCTGATCAGGAATGCCAATAATTTGTAGGTTTGGTCACTGTACACTATCCCATATTTTTTGAAAAAACTTTATTTTTTTAAATTCTATTTTTATTATTTCTGTCTGAGTGTGTTGATTCAAAACACTAGTTTACAAAGTCTGAACTTCTTTGTTTTGCTTGGTCCAGTCTACTGATGAGCCACTTAATTGTATTTTGAAATTCCTTAAGTGAATTTTTCAACTCCAGAAGCTCTGATTGACTATAATTTAAGATATTTATCTCTTCCTTTATTTTACGGATTGCTTTAGAAGTTTCTTCCTCTTGATTTTCAACCTTGTTTGGGATCTTATTAAGCTTCCTTGCAATTCATGTTTGATTTTTTAATGTCATTTCTAAATTTCCATTTTGGTTAGGGACTATTGTTGGAGGGCTAGTGCGATCTTTTGATGGTGTCACTACATTCAGATTTTTCATGGTCTCAGAATATTTGTACTGGTTGCTTCTCATCTGGAGATGCTGGCATTTGGAATTTTTTAAAAATTATTTTCATTTGAGTAGTTTTTTTTGTTTTTACTTCCTTCCTTATAATGTTATTATTATTTTCTTCATTTATCCCTTTTATCTTCCCTAGTGGGTGCAACTGCAGCAAATATTGGGTAAAGCCTTGGCTTTTCCTCTATAGTCCTATGCACTTCTTTTGGCA